>NC_000014.9:78096561-78248076 GCF_000001405.40 Homo sapiens
CCATATCATTCCACCTGTGGCCCCTCCCAAATCTCATGTCCTCACATTTTAAAACCAATCATGCCTTCCCAATAGTTCCCCAAAGTCTTAACTCATTTCAGCATTAACTCAAAAGTCCACAGTCCAAAGTCTCATCTGAGACAAGGCAAGTCCCTTCTGCCTATGAGCCTGTAAAAACAAAAGCAAGTTAGTTACTTTCTAGACACAATGCGGATACAGGCATTGAGTAAACAACAGCCATTCCAAACGGGAGAAATTGGCCAAAATGAAGGGGCTACAGGCCCCATGCGAGTCTGAAATCCAGTGGGGCAGTCAAATCTTAAAGCTCCCAAATTATCTCTGTTGACTCCATGTCTCACATCCAGGTCATGCTGATGCAAGAGGTGGGTTCCCATGGTCTTGGGCAGCTCCACCTCTGTGGTTTTGCGGGGTACAGCCTCCCTCCTGGCTGCTTTCATGGGCTGGCGGTGAATGTCGGCAGCTTTTTTAGGTGCACAGTGCAAGCTGTTGGTGGATTTACCATTCTGAGGTGTGGAGGATTGTGGCCCTCTCCTCACAGCTTCACTAGGCAGTGCCCCAGTAGGGAGTCTGTGTGGGGGCTCCCACCCCACATTTCCCTTCCACACTGCCTTAGCAGAGGTTCTTCATGAGGGCTCCATCCCTGAAGCACACCTCTGCATTTCCATACATCCTCTGAAATCTAGGTGGAAGTTCCCAAACCTCAATTCTTGACTTTTGTACCCAGAGGCTCAACACCAAGTGGAAACTGCCAAAATTTGGGGCTTGCACCCTCTGAAGCCACAGCCTGAGCTATACCTTGGCCCCTTGTAGCCATGGCTGGAGCGGCTGGGATGAAGGACACCAGCTCCCTAGGCTACACAGCAGGAGGGCTCTGGACCCATTTTTTCCTACTAAGCCTCTGGGCTTTTGATGGGAGGGGCTTCTGTGAAGGTCTCTGACATGCCCTGGAGACATTTTCCCCATTGTCTTGGTGATTAACATTGGGCTCCTTGTTAGTTATGCAAATTTCTGCAGCTGGCTTAAATTTCTCCCCAGAAAATGGGTTTTTAGTTTTTATTGCATCATCAGGCTTCTAATTTTCCAAACTTTAATGCTCTGGTTCCTCTTGAATGCTTTGCTGCTTAGAAATTTCTTCTGTCAGATCCCCCAAATCATCTCTCTCAAGTTCAAAGTTCCACAGATCTGTAGGGCAGGGGCAAAATGCCACCAGTCTCTTTACTAAAACACAGCAAGAGTCACCTTTGCTCCAGTTCCCAAAAGTTCCTCATCTCCATCTGAGGCCACCTCAGCCTGGACTTCTTTGTCCATATCACTATCAGCATTTTGGTCAAAGCCATTCAACAAGTCTCTAGGGAGTTCCAAACTTTCCCACATCTTCATGTCTTTTTCTGAGCCCTCCAAACTGTTCCAACCTCTGCCTGTTACCCAGTTCCAAAGTCGCTTCCACATTTTTGGGTACTTTACAGCAGCACCCCAGCCTACTGGTACCGTAGACTGTAATTTACTGTAACAGCCCATTTTCATGATGCTGATAAAGACATATCCAATACCGGGTTATTTATTAAAAAAAAAAAAAAGAGATTTAATGGACTCACAGTTCCATGTGGCTGGGAAGGCCTCACAATTATGGCAGATGGTGAAAGGCAAATATTACATGGTGGCAGACAAAAGAGAAGGAGAGCCAAGTGAAAGGGGAAACCCCTTATCAAACCGTTAGATCTCATGAGACTTATTCACTACCACACTACCATGAGAACAGTATGGAGGAACCGCCCCCATGATTCAATTATCTCCTACCAGGTCTCTGCCACAACACATGGGAATTATGGGAGCTACAGTTCAAGATGAGATTTGGGTGGGGACACAGCCAAACCATATTGGACACTGACATCAAGACCAGAGGCTTCCTGCTTGGCATGAACACACAAGCGTTGTGGTGGGAGGTGAGAAGTCCTAGACGTGAACCTAAGGTGGCCAGGCTGTCAGTTGCACCTGCGTGAACCTGTCAGCAGGCACACTGAATTGCTTGCTGCAGCAGTGGCTGGAATGAGGTGAGGCCAGAAGGATCTGAAGTGGTGCATAGGAGGTGTCCAATAGGAAAACTGGCAATGATCATGATAGCAGCTGACAATGAGTCCTTCCTGTGTGCCAGGCCCTGTGCATTAGAGGAATTTTCTTATTTAATTTTCACAACAACCCCATGAAGCAGGTCCTATTATCTCCATCATACTGATGAATAATCTGCCATTCAAGAGATACAGCTTGCTTGGGATCAACCCCTCTTACCCTAGAATGTAAGCTCCAGAAGGCCAGAGACTTTGCTCCCTGCCTCAGCACCAAGAACAGTTCTGGTATACAGTCAGTACTCCATAAATGTGTGCTTACTGTTTAAATGCTGGATCTGGGATTTGAATCCAGATTATCCAATGCCAAAGCCTATGCATTTAGCCTAACTAAGGAACTGGTGATGATAAGAACACAGAGAGATGCTCTCCCTTTCATGAGCCATAATCCCATTTGGAAGACAGACCTAAATAGGTAATTATAAGTATTCAGTCCTGTGTCCATCCTAGCCTGGTGGCAAGCATGCAGTAAGTGCTGCATATACATTTGGTGGGCTGGTGCTGGGCTTGCACACCACAGAATTTGTACTTTCTGCCCAGTATAGCCCATCCTCAGCAATTACACTTTGGTCTCTTCTGTGAAGTCCAGATTTTGCCTGCCAGATGCATTTCATGACTCTAATAAACATTCACACCTACTCGGAGCGTTTAGTCAGAAAAAATGGAGCCTAAGAGCTCCATGAAGCAATGTGCTTCCCCTTCTGCAAGCTGAGGGAGCATTAACCGAAACACATGCTCTATGGAAACTGGCTGCATCATTATTGGAACTGCTGCACCCTCACTCTAACCAATCTATTTTTATTTGAAGCGCTTACATTGTATGAAACTGAGCATAGTAACTACAGTCAGTGGAGATGTATTTGTTTTTATTTAAACTCATATAAATGTGGTAATGCCAATAAAGGTTTTTTTCTCCTCTGGAAAGTAAGACATATATGGAGGAGATGGAAATTTACACATCCATCAAACCAAGAGGGCCCATTTTCTCTGAAACAATTTTTTGGGTTGCCAGTGATTTATGGTGGCAAACCGAAGACTGAGTTGGGGAAGTAGGGAGGAGGAGAGAAAGAAAATGCATCCATGTGGTTCATTTATCTCACTTCCTTTAAAGAACAGAGGAGTTAAGAGTAGAGAGAGGGGACAGAACTGGGGAGTCTAAGCAAGAGTTGGATTTGAAGACTAAGAGGGCAGCTGGATCCTTATGATTCTCATTTGCTGTCCAAATGTGCTTTGGAAGCTAGGCAATCGGGTGCAGTGTTGGGGAAATCCCTGGCATCATGAGATCTGGATTTGCTTCTATCTAGCCATGTCACCGTGACCAGGTCTTGGGCTTCCTCATCCCTAACCAGAACACCAGTATTGGCTTTGCTTGCTGGTTAAGATCATGGCTTCTCTAGGGCCAGACTGTGGATTGAAATCCTCACTCTGCCATTTACAACTGTGTGACTTTGGGCAAGTGACTTTACCTTCCTTGGCTTTGATTTTCTTGATCTGGGAGGAGATGCTAATGGTGCCTCAATTACAGCCTTGTTTTGAGGTTTAAAGAAGTAATGCATATTAAGGACTTAGAACAGGACCTGGCATGTCTTAAGTACTCAATTAATTTTTCTCGTCAGGAGAGCTAGAAAGGAAGTAAAAAAATTAATTGTGAAAATTGTATCCTGACAACAGTAACAAAAAGAAGTATTTAGTCCAGGGCCTTTCATCTTGCAGAGGAGGAAACAGACCCAGAGAGGTCTTGAATGTGTTTTCTATTTCTTCTGTAACAAGTCACTGCAACACACATGGCTTTAAACAACACACATTTATTATTTTACAGGTCTGGGAGTCAGAGGTCTGAAATGATTCTTTTTTTAAATTTTAATTTTTAAAAAAACACTTTACTTACTATTACCAGTTTATCATAAAGGATACAAGTCAGGAACAGCCAAATGGAAGAGATGCAGAGGACAAAGCATGAGGGAAGGGGCACAGCACTTCCACGCCCTCTCCAGGAGTGCCACCCTCCCAGCACCTCCCTGTGTTCACCACTTGGTAAGCGCTTGGAACTGTGTTCTATGGGGTTTTGATGGAGGTTCTATTATGTAGGCATAATTGATTAAGTCAGTGGTCATTGGTGATTAGCTCTATCCCCAGCCTCTCTCTCCTTTCCAGTGATCTAGGGGTGGGGCTGAAGGTCTTAACCCTCCAATCACATTGTTAGTTCCTCTGGCAACGGCCCCCATCCTCCGAGTCACCTTGAAATGAGTCTTAATGGAGCCAAAGTCAAGGTGCTGGTAGGGTTGGTTCCTTCTGGGGGTTCCTAGGGAGTCTTGGTTCCTTGGCCTGTCCAGCTTCTAGAGGTTGTTCATATTCCGTGGCTTGTGGCTGTACCACTCCCCTGTCTGCTGCTGTTGTCGAACTGCCTTCTTCTCTCTCTGATTTCTGCTTCCCACTTATAAGGACTCTTGTGATTATATCAGGCCCACCTAGATAATCCAGGAAAATCTTCCCTCTCAGGATCCTTAGCTTCTTCACATCTGCATATAAGGTACATAGTCATAGGTTCTTGGGATTAGGCTATGAACTTGTTTGGGGGTGGGTCAGTGTTTTAATCTTCTGCAAGTCCTAAGGTCAATGGCTGGTTAGTAGCATGGAATGACTTTCAGCAGGAGATTACTGGACTTAAATGCTCTTTTCATGTCCTGGTGCTGCCTTGGCTCTTGAGATGACCAGGTGTCCGGCCTGGAAGCATCTGGCCAGGACGAGGAGGTATCCTGGAATGTCTGAGGCCTCTTATCTCAGAGCAGTGGCTCCTACATCAGGTTACCACCCTCCCAGTCAGGAATTCCTAGCTGCCAATGCCTCTCCACTTACTGAAGCTGCAGTTTGCAGCTTCTTGAGGGTATGCAGTCTAAGTGGCCTGCTAGCTAGGGCCTCAGTGGCATGGGGTGGGCAGGCTGGATCCAAAGCCTGGCTGGTGTGGAGCTGGGAATCTGCTATGATACACTGATGGCGTGGAGGGTGAGTGGTAGGAAGGAAGAGCTCACTCAGCCTGGGTCTGCTGGGTCAAATGGTGTGGATGGATGGAGGGTGAACGGGGACACAGGGGGGGCTTGGGAGGGTAATAGAGATGAGTGCTTTAGAGCAGTGTTTTCCAAACCTTAGCAGTGGAGGCTTTTTTATTTTTAATTTTTTAAAAGCATACCCATTAGGATGGCCATTATAAAAAAATCTTAGAAAATAACAAGTGCTGGGGAGGATGTGGAGAAATTGAACCCTGTGCATGGTTGGTGGGAGTGTAAAATGGTGCAGCTGCTATAGAAAGTATGGAGGTTCCTCAAAAAAATTAAAAATAGTATTACCATATGATCCAGCAGTCCCATTTCTGGATATATACACAAAGGAATTGAAAGCAGTGACATGAACAGATATTTGGACACCCATGTCCATCACAGCATTTTTTTTTTAAGACAGAGTCTCACTCTGGCACCCATGCTAAAGTAAAGTGGCATGATCATAGCTCACTATAACCTTGAACTCCTGGGCTCAAGCAATTATCTCATCTCAGGACCCCCCTCCAAATAGCTGGGACTATATAGGCACATGGCTACCATACCTGGCTACTTTTTTTGTATTTTTTGTAGAGATGGGGTTTCACCATGTTATCTGGGCTGGTTTGAACTCCTAAACTCAAGTGATCTGCCTGCCTCAGCCTCCCAAAGTGCTATGATTACAGGCATGAGCCACCCTGCTTGGCCAGCACTTTTTACAATAGCCAAAATGTGGAAGCAACCCAACGAAGCAACGACTGGTGAATGGATAAGCAAAATGGATAAACAAAACACACACACACACACACACACACACACAAAATCACACAATGGAATATGATTTAGCCTTAAAAAGGAAGGAAATTCTGACACATGCTACAATATGAATGAACCATGATGACATTATGCTAAGTGAAATAAGCCAGTCACAAAAAGACATACTGTACAATTCTGCTTAGAGTAGTCAAATTCCTAGAGACAGAAAGAATGGTGATTTCCAGGAGCTAGGGGGAACAGGGAATGGGGAGTTATTGTTTAATGGGTACAGAGTTTCAGTTTTGCAAGATGGAAAAAGTGCTGTGGATGGATGGTGACAATGGTAGCAAAACGATATGAATGTACTAAAAAATAGTTAAAATGCTTAACACAAAACAACTCCCCACCCTGCCTCTGCCCAAAATCAGGAAGCTAAGATAGCCATAAGTGGAGCTGCTGAGGCTGAAGTGGGATGTGGATGCACACAGCTCTGACTTTTCATCTCCTTTCCACCCTCTGCAGAGACACCAAGATATCTACTTGCAACCCTAGAGCTCTTCGGACAGCCCTCGGGAAACCCTGTTTTAAACCCTTGCCAAACTAATAGAGTAATGGACCTGGGCTACCTGTAACTTACATCCATTGCACCTCATTGGCCTCACAAATTCTCTTGCTTTTTTGTTCTCAGATGGTCTCTGAGTTGCAATGATGGTGGGGAAACACTGTCCCGGGAGACAAATGCAAGCCGTGGTGTGACTCCCAGGCATCCACCTTTGGGCTCCTGAAGTGCCGTGTGGTGGCTGCATCAGGTCACCTGAGCCTCTAAAGGCAGTGAGACTCCAGGCCTTTGCTAGGGGAGGACAAAATGAGGACATGCCCAGCAGACTTTTGCTGACAGCTGGAGCTTCCCCTATTGCACCTGCCCTCTACGGGAGGTCTGCCCTCTGAGGGCTCCCTTGCAGGGTTGTCTGAGGAGCAGCTGGGGATTAAGTGGAGGGATGGGCACTGTAAGCAGAAGGAGCAAGTCTTGCTCCAGTAGCCTGGCTTGTGGCTTCACTCTTGGTCCGTGTGTTCCTTGGCCTCATCTCACAGGCTGTGCCCATCAGTAGTTGTGGCCTTTGTGAGTCTGTGGCTTTCTCTTCCTCTGATTTTCATCTCTCTTTTCTTCCTCCTCCTACCCTGACATCTTTCACCTTCTTCCCCCAGCTGGTCCCTGTGGGCAGATAACTTGACCAGACTGGCTGCTGGAAGCTGTCCAAGGCTTAGCTGGAGTGGGCTCTGAAAGGAAAATGTGGGTCATTAGCTCAGGACGATTGAACAGTCTCTGCTCCCCCTGGTTGCACCTTTTGGCTGTTGTGGAAAATGCTGCTGTGAACATGGGTGTACAAATTGCCTGTCCATGTTCCTGCTTTCCATTCTTTTTGGGATATGCCCAGAAATGGAACTGCTGGGTCATATGGTCCAGCCTGCCCCTCTGACCACTGAACCAGGCATTGGCTTTAGCAAGTTGAGATGCATGGGGGTTGGTGAGAAGGGATTGGTAATAATAAGAGGCTTTTACCTGTGTAAAAGGGTCAATAAATAGCTGTCACTATGCAGTGTGTGGCAAGGCTCATGTGAGTGACACAGACCATAATATTATAGGAAATTGGAGACAAGAGCCATTGCCCAAAATAGGGCATATGGGGTAAATGGATGTACTAGTAATCTTTCCATTGTGAGGACAAAAAGGCTCAAGTAAAAAACAAACGTGGGAGGGACGTTATAGCCAGGAAATCCATATGTAGACTTAACTTGAGACCTGATCTCTGTTCTCAAGTGACGTCACTGGGGATCTCTGTCTCTCCATCTCTCAGTACCGCTTTCTCTACATTGGCTTCTTTTTCTCCGTGTGTTGGCAATGTGGCTTTTGGAAGCTCCAGGCTTGCACCCATCTGCTCAGCAGTGAGGTGGCCAGCAGGCTGTTTTTGCGAGACTAGAAGTTTCCTGCTGGACATACATTTGGAAGAATAAAGATAAAAGTTTAAAAAATAGATTGGGTTCCGGTTTGGGTGTCCTTGAATGTCAAGGTAAGCATTTGGGCTTTGGTGAGGGTTTTTGAGTAGGAAACTGATGCGGTTAAATTGGCATCTGGGGAAACTAATATTGGTACAGTGAAATTTGGACTACAGAAGGGAGGGGTGGGGATTAAGTGACCATTGAGAAGGAAGCTATAGATCTCTAGGGGTGAATGGAGGGCTTGGAGTGACCCTAGAGCATTGTCCATCCACTGTACTTCTGGGACTGGCATGGTTACTGAGAGGCATGGCCAGGGACTAAGTGAATATGAAAGCTGGAGTGGGTGGCGGGTGGGTGGATGATGGATGAAGACATGGGTGGAGGGATGGCTGGCTAGGTGGGTGGATAAGAGATGGAAGTTGTGTAGAGAGAATATACACACATGAGGAGCCCCAGTGAGGATATAATGAGTGAAGTTCCACCTTCACTCAAGTAGGCATATCAGAAAGGGAGGAGACTTTTTTTTTTTACAGTTGCTGATCCCAGCCAGTCAGTGAAGTGTCCATCACCTCCAAGAAGTTCCCCTTTTTCTCACTGCAGATGTAACCTACAAGTCAGCAAAGATTAGGGCCCAATATTCTCCACGTCTGACCTGCTCTGCATCTCGCATATCAGGTTATTGTTTCTGCTAGAAAATTTTAGAGTGTCTTGCCTTATCAGGGAAATCCTGAGTCTTCATATAACTTCTGTTAGGAGAGGTTGGCACCAACCAATATTTTCCTGTCCGCCACAGGAGGTTCTATTGTATCTCATGTGAGGTTGATTGGTGGGGAGGGATATTGGGCATTCATAAATCTAAAACAAAGTAATTGAATGTTTACCGCATATTAAATCTTGTGGTAGGTACTGGGACCAAAAGATGAAAAAAGCGAAATAACATTTGTGATTCCTTTGATGGTAATGAACAGAAAGCAACCCTGGCAAATATAAGCCAAATGGGCAATTAATAGGAAGGATCTTGGGGTGGTTTCCAGGATCAACAGAAAGGGAGACTAGCCAGGTGTCTGGAAGAGCAGGAGCCAGGCCTGCCAGGGTGCCCTGGTGCCCTCTTATCAGGAATCTTTAAGAGACTCCAAAGATCTCTAGCCTTTTATAGCTCCTTAAGACTTACATACCCCAGACAGAATCTAATTGGCTCAGGCTTGAATCAGGTGTCCCTCTTGGGAATGATATGCCATGCCCAGGAGGTTAAGGGTCATGAAGCAAAGACACAACTGCCCTTAGGAAATGGACCATTCCCAGAGAAAAGAAAAATAGACTGCTGTTGTGAGCCAGGCAGCCACACAAATTGATATTTACTATAAAAGGCTTTATTCCAGAAGCTTCCAAACTAATTGCATCCATTCTTGGTCTGGGGAAATAGAGAAGGCTGACCCGATATTCCTCTTGATACCTCGGTGTTCACACCTGTGCATTGGGTTGTCCCCTGTCTTGGCAGGAAATCATCTGCTCTAGGCATCTGGAGATGCTCATCCCATCTCTGAGCAAAACAAGGCACAAGGACCTATTTCATTGCTTTCTAGGCTGCTCACAAGGCTGGCAAACCCCACACAGTGCATGGATACCAAAGGGGGCTACCTGGGTATTGTCCAAATTTCCTTGGCAGCTCCCCTTTCAGGATATTTTGCAATGGCATCAACAGCAGGTGTACCTGCGAAGGCTTGTTCTCCACCATTCCTTTTTACTTACAATCAGTTACATTTGTGGTCATCTGTTTTTTTTTCTTTTCTGGACAGAGTTGGTTATTGGTGTTTCTGTTGTAAGTGGGTCAGAACCTAAATAGGTCATCTTGGTTTCCTAGATGTTGTAATCGTGAAATGAACTGAGCAAGGGAGGGTGAGGGAGAAAAGCCTAACTGGCATCAGGAGGGAGAGGGAAGATGTGGTTGGAGCTCAGGGTCCCGCTTTTAGGGGTGTGAAACCTTGGTGATAGGCGTTAAGGATCCCTAAGTGAATTGATGGAGAAGTGGCTGTGGGCTTTGAACCAAGTGGAAGATGGTGTGTGTGAGAACAACCCTGCATCTGTCTGACCTCATTTGTGAAATGTAATAAGAACTGACAGGGATCCTGTGTCTTTCAGAGGCTGGAAATATATGGGAGAGGGTAGAGGCAAGAGGAGGGATATGAGGGGTGGTTATGGGCCAAATTATGTCCCCTCCAAATTTATATGTTGAAATTCTATTCCCCAATACCTCAGAATGTGACTGTATTTGGGCATAGGCTCTTTAAAGGGGTAGTTAAGTTAAAACAAGGTCATTAGAGTGTGCCTAATCCATCATGACTGTTGTCCTTATAAGAAGAAGAGATTTGGACACAGACACATTTGGAGGCAAGACCATGTGAGGACACAGGGAGAAGACAGCCATCCACAAGCCAAGAGAGAGAGACCTGGAAGAACAAGCCCTGCCCACCCCTTGATCTTGGATGTCTAGCCTCCAGAATTAGGAGAAAACAAATTTCTATTTTTTAAGCCAAAACCCTTGCCAAACGAATTGAGTTTGTGGCATTTTGTGATGGCAGCCCCAACAAATTAATACAGGGGCCCTCTGTGAGGTGATAGGGTTGCATTCCCCTGTGCTTCCTTACCCATGGAGCTGGTTTTTTGAATCCTCTAAGTTTTTTGCATTGGCCTCTGTTCTGGGAACTCATTGGCTCAGAACTTCTGGAGGCAGCTTCTGCCTTGATCCTCAGTCTCCTTTCTCCTTGGCTTAAGGAACTTTCCTATTTGACAACTGAGGCAACTGAGAGAGATTGTTCAGGGCCAACCTCAAGTTCAACCATGGGGCACTTCCTCATCTTCCTTCTCTGCATTCTTGGCATTCTTTCACACTGAACAGCCACTTCAGAACAACTGTCCTCTTATGTAGGGATGGCCAGGTCACCTCATTTTTGTAGGTAGAGAGACTAGAACCATGAAGGTATCTCACCTGTCAGTGAGGTGGAGACTTCTTTGAGCCCCTGGACTCAGTGTGGTGAGCTTAGAAGATTACTCTGAGATCAGAACTTGCCTCACTGACAATCTGTCTGGCAGGGCAGGATAATCTGAGGACAGTGGGAAATGTGCCCTAGAATGTGACCCCTGTGAAGTCTGTATGAAATGCCACATTTATTCAGTTCTTGGGATAAGAGGCTTTTGAAAACCCTGTGAATTATCTGGGAGGGGTGTGAAGTGTTTTTCCCCTACCTGGAACATTTTTAAAATTTTAGTAACTGATTGTTCATTGCTATCCTATGGAAATACGATTGATTTTCATATATTTTGCATGTGGCTTATTAGTCCTTGTAGATTTCTGTAGATTCCATTGGGTTGTCTACATAAACAATCATGTTTTCTATGCATAAAAACGGTTTTACTCCTTCCTTTCTAATTTAATTGCCTTTTACTTCTTTTTTGCCTAATTGCACCAGGTAGGCCCTCCAGTGAAATATTGAAAAGAAGTGGTGAGAGTGGTCTTTCCTGCCTTTTTCCTGATCTTTGGGGAATACTTTCAGTCTTTCACCATTAAGTATGATATTGGCCATGAGTTCTTCATTGATGTCCTTTATCACATTGAGGAAATTCCCTTCTATCCCTGGTTTGCTGAGAGTTCGACTATTTTAAAATCAGGAAAAGAATTAGATATTACCAAATGCTTCAGCATCTATTTATATGATCATGTGGTTTTTCTCTTTCAATTTGTTAATATAACGAATAACATTGCTTGAATATTAAACCAACCCTGCATTCCTAGGATATATCTTACTTATATTATCTTTTTTCCATATTTTTGGATTCAATCTGCTGAAATTTTGTTCAGAATTTTTGCATATATGTTCATGAGGGAATATTAGTTTGTGGTTTTCTTCTTCTTTTTTTTTTTTTGGTCTGATTTGGTATCTGGATAATGCTGGCTTCATAAATGCTATGGGAATTACTCCCCCCTTTCAGTCTTATGGAAGAGTTCGTATATATAATAATTAGTAGTATTTCTTTCCTAAATGTTTGGTACACTTTACCTTTGAAGCTGTCTGGGCCTATTTTCTTTGTGGGAAGATTTTTAACTACAAATTTAATTCCTTTAATACATAAAGGGCTATTCAGATTAGTTATTTCTTCTTGAATGAGCTTTAGTAGATTATGTCTTTGAAATAATTTGTCCATTTTATCTAAGTTGGTGAATTTATTAGCATAAAGTAATATATAATATTCCTTTATCATTTTAATATCTGTAGAATATATAATGAGGTCATCTGTCTCTCTCATTCCTGATATTGGTAATCTGTATCTTCTCTCTTTTTTCCTGATCAGTCTGATGAGTTTTATCAATTCCTTTAAAGAGCCAGCTGTTGGTTTTTATTGATTTTATCTTTTTTCCTGTATTATTCATGTCTGCTTTATTACCTTGTCTCTGTGCTTACTTTAGGTTTAATCCCCCCTGCTTCATATAGTTTGTTAAGACAAAAGCTGAGGTCATTAATTTAGTTTGTTTTTTTCTTTCCTGATATAGATGTTTAGTGCCATGATATTTCTCCTAAGTACTGCCTCAGTGGCATCCCACAAATTTTGATATGTTGCATTTTCATTTTTATCCATTTCTAAATACTTTCTGTTTTTCCTTTTGATTGCTTTGTTGACCCATGGGTTATTTTGAAGTATGCTATTTAGTTTCCAAATGTTTGAGTATTTTTTAGAGATTTTTTAACACTTTGCCTGGCTTGAATCCTTTAAAATTTATCGAGGAACATATTTTATAACACAGAATATGGTTTATCTTGGTTAACGTTCTGTGTGCATTTGAAAAAAAATGTGTATTCTGCCATTGAGTGGAGTGTTCTTTAAATGTCAGTTAGGTTAGGTTGGTTGATAATGTTCAAGTCTTTCATTTTCCTATTGATTTTTTGTCTATTTGTCTTATCAATTATTGAGAGAGGTATGAAATCTCTGACTATAAGTTTTTTCATCTATTCTTGCAGTTCTATAAGCTCTTGCTTCATGTATTTTGAATATCTGGCAATATTATTTGAATAATAATGATATTATGAATAATTATTAATATAAAATAGCTATTATTAATAGTCAAATATTATTGACTCTGAAACTTACTTTGTTAGATATTAATACAGCCACTCAAACTTGCTTTTTATTAGTATTAGCATGGTATACCATATTCTATCTTTTATTGTTTAGCCTATTTCTGTTTGTATATTTAAAGAGCATTTCTTGTAGGCAGCATATAGTTGCTTTTTAAAAATCCAACCCGACAAAATCTCTGACTTTCAAAATAAATGGTATGTAGATCATTTATATTTAATGTGATTATTATTCTGGGATAGAGCTAAGTTACGTGAAAACAGTGTGATCCTTTGAGATCTTACTTTTTTCTTTTTTGAAATGTAATGGCGCGATCTCAGCCCACTGCAACCTCTGCCTCCCAGGTTAAAGCAATTCTTGTGCCTCAGCCTCCTGAGTAGCTGGGACTACAGTCATGCACCACCACACCTGGCTAATTTTTTTATTTTTTTATTTTTTTTGAGACACAATCTTGCTCTGTCACCCAGGCTGGAGTGTAGTGGCACAATCTCAGCTCACTGCAACCTCTGCCTCCCAGGTTCAAGTGATTCTCCAGCCTCAGCCTCCCAAGTAACTGGGATTACAGGCGGCACCACCACGGCCGGCTAATTTTTGTATTTTTAGTGGAGATGGGGTTTCACCATGTTTGCCAGGCTGGTCTCGAACTCCTGACCTGAGGTAATCTGCCCACCTCAACCTCCCAAAGTGCTGGGATTACAGGCATGAGCCACCACGCCCGGCCTAATTTTTGTATTTTTAGTAGAGATGGGGTTTCGCCATGTTGGCCAGACTGGTCTTGAACTCCTGACCTCAGGTGATCCACCCACTTCAACTGCCAACTCCCCACATAGTCAGAAATCTGTGTATAACTTTTGGCTTTCCAAAACCTTAACTACCAATAGCCTACTGTTGACTGGAAGCCTTATTGATAACATAAACAGTCAATTAATACGTCTTTTATATGTTGCATGTATTACGTACTTTATTCTTACAATAAAGTAAGCTAGAGAAAAGAAAGTGTTATTAAGGAAATCATAAGGAAGAGAAAATATATTAACTATTCATTAAGTGGAAGTAGATCATCATAAAGATCTTCATTCTCATTGTCTTCATGTTGATTAAGCTGAGGAGGAGGAGGAAGAGAATGGATTGGTTTTTGTCTCAGGGGTGACAATGGAAGAAAATCCATGTATAAGTGGACTGGTGCAGTTCAAACACATGTTCAAGGGTCAACCTTGTTACACAGGACTTGAGCAGTGTTTAGTCTAGGGCAGGGGTCCCCAGCCCCCAGGCTTTGGATCAGTAGTAGTCCATGGCCTGTTAGGAACCGGGCCGCACAGCAGGAGGTAAGTCATGGACCATTACCAATGATGGTAAGCATTACCATCTGAGCTCTGCCTCCTGCTGGATCAGCGGCATTAGATTCTCATAGGAGCATGAACCCTATTGTGAATTGCACATGTGAGGGATCTAGGCTGTGCGCCCCTTATGAGAATCTAACGCCTGATGATATGAGGTGGAACAGTTTCATCCCAAAAGCATTTGCCCTTACTGCCCCCAGTTTGTGGCAAAAATTGTCTTCCATGAAACTGGTCCCTGATGCCAAAAATGTTGGAGACTGCTGGTCTAGGGCTAATTATTCCCCACTACTGAGTATTCTCAGTAAGACACTTCAGAAAGACCCTTCTGGGTATTCGACTCAATGTCCCACGAATTCTGGGCTTCTCTGGTCTGGCTAATGGGAACAGGCTCTATTCTCATCCCTGAGTGAGTGTTGGGTCCTGTTTCCTCTAATCCATTTGAGCAGTTCTTTCCCTAGCCTCTGTTAGTTTCCTTACTTACATGAAGACTTGAGAGGGACCCTTTGGAGATCTCCGGTGTTCTCTGTCTTCCAGGCTCTCTTCTCTCTGATCATCTGATTTGCAGACAATAGCTACCTTAGTCTCCCCAGACTCTCAGATGTCTTGTCAACTCAGGGAGTCTGCTGGGTCCCACTTGCATCAGGGCCTGGAAACTTTCTCAAGGCGGTAAGCTGGGGGTAATCTTAGGGCTTATCTCATTTGTTTCTGCTCTCTCAGGGATCACTGGCTTTGGTGTCCATTTTCTCCTTATATATTTTCTGGTTTCCTGGTTATTTCAGTGGCAGGGTAAATCTGCTTCCCATTATTCCATCTTGGATAGAAGCAGACGCCTTAGATAACTTTTTTTTTCTTTAAAACAATACTGTTTTTTAAACTGCATTTGAGCACCTCAAAGGGGGCTTATGTTCTCAAGGTACCACAGCACCTGACATTTCCTAGTTAATTATTTTAGCTCACTTCTTTCATTTGTGTTCCTTGCTGGCCCTTTTAGTCATTTTAATTTACAACTCTTTAAAGACATGAGACATAGAATAGGTAAGTTTTGGTGATGATGGGTGTGGCAGAGTGTAGACAGGAGGTTCGATGAGTGGGGATAGCAACATGATATTTTAATCTTTGTCTCCCTAATGCCTTGTAAACATACATGTTTATTAAATGAAGAAAGAAAGGATCAGGAAAATCTGAATTATTGCTTGGTTGGGCCAGTTGGTTTCTGGACTTTTAATTTAAGTAGATATTTCTAAATGCCCTCCAAAATGCTTGTAGTAATTTATACTTCCACAAACTCTGTGTGAGATCATTACATATTTGAAAATATTGTTGCATTCTTCCATAAGTCTTTTCTCCTTCAAGTTAAACCTCTTGAACTCTGAGTAGGGCAAGTTATGGACTGAATGTTTGTGTCACCCTGAATTCATATATTGAAGCCTGAATCCCCAGTGTGATGGTATTAGGAGGTGGGGCCTTTGGAAGTAATAAGATCAAGAGGGTGGAGCCATCATGAGTGGGATTAATGCCCTTATAAGAAGAGACATGAGAAAGATGATCTCTTTTTCTGCTATGTGAGGATACAGCAAGAAGGTGGCTTTCAAGCCAGAAAGAGAGCCCTCACCAGACACGAAATCCACTGACACTTTGATCTTAAGCTTGTAACCTTCAGAACAGTGCTACTGAAATGCCAGGGGTTTGGTCTAGGTCCTGCTGCTTGCTGCACAGAAAGCCAATCACTGAGACAACAATTATTACCAAGGAAGAAGGTTTTAATTGGGTGCTGCAGCTGAGGAGATGGGAGATCAGTCTCAAATCCATCTCCCTTACCCAGTAAAATTAGGGGTTTATATATCAGCACAGAAAAGTAACAGTGTGTAGGAAAAAAGGAACTCAGGAGGGGTAAGGAAGCAATCGTGATGAATGAGGGGCCTGGTGTCTCATTGTCCAGATGCCATGATCTGTTGAGCTTCAGTTCTTTCATACTTTTGGAGATGCCTGGGGGTCCTTTTCTGAGGAAGAAACTCAGAAAAAACAAGTGTAAGTTGCAAGCTTTAAACCAGAAAGGTCAATTTCTATGTTTATCCAAAAAAATCCTGTCTATGGGACTGTTGGGTCAGTTTCAACAGTGAGGAATGAATTTTTGTTGTTTGAGCTGCTCAGTCTGTGGGTTTTTTTTTTTTTTTTTTTTTTTTTGAGACAGAGTCTCGCTCTGTCACCCAGGCTGGAGTGCAGTGGCGCGATCTTGGCTCACTGCAAGCTCCGCCTTCTGGGTTCACGCCATTCTCCTGCCTCAGCTTCCTGATTAGCTGGGACTACAGGAGCCTGCCACCACACCTGGCTAATTTTTTGTATTTTTAGTAGAGACGGGGTTTCACCGTGTTAGCCAGGATGGTCTCGATCTCCTGACCTCGTGATCCGCCTGCCTTGGCCTCCCACAGTGCTGGGATTACAGGTGTGAGCCAGCGCGCCCGGCAAGTCTGTGGTATTTTTGTGATAACAGCCCCAGCCAGTGTAGACAGGTAGTGTAGAAGATGCTGAAGGTTTATTGCCATGTCCCCTTGGCTCACTGAGGTCACTTTAATGTAGTTCCTGGACGTGGTGTCTCCTCTCTCTGCCTTCAGAATTCTCAAGCCCGATAAGCACACCACTTACTTGTACAAGATGGAAATGCTGGGAAAATGACCTGCCAGAATGTCCTTCAACCAATGCGGGATGAGAGTTGGTGAATCAATATCCCAGCTCCCTCCTCCAGTGGGGGGACCAATCCTGCCATGTGTTTTAAACAATCTCTCAGAGGTTCCTGGGGTGGGATTGAGCCCCAGTTTTCCCACAGTGGTGACCTGCTCCTTATCATGTCTTTAATTGGGATTCCTCCCCTCCTTGTTTTACTTCTTTAGGCCTTAACTGTGCTTCCTGGAATCATCTCCCAGATAAACTATGTGTACCAGAGTTTCTGTCTCTGGGTTGGCTTTGAAGGAGTCCAAACTAAGAGATTGTTTTGGTAAGGAACTTTCCTGGGACTCAGAGCATCTGCTATGCTGTCCCTGCCCTTCACCCCAATACAAACACCTACGTATGGTAGGGGAGGTGGCAGGAGAAGGGGCTTGGCTGGGAGGCTGGGTTGCCAGGGGGCCCCTATCCATAGAAGCCACGTTGACACCCTTTCTGTGTTTCTAAAGATGGGCAGATCTGTGCATCTTGGAGGAGGCCTGGCTGGGCACTTGCTCCTCAGGTGGCCTTGGTGTGTTCAGATACACAGGTGTTGACATTGAAGTCTGCAGTCAAGGAGAGGTGTGGTGGGACGAAGACATGCCACTGGGCTTGATTATATCACTTGCTGCTTGGAACAACGGTTGTCATTTCTAAGTCATAATTTAGCAGAACTTCAGTAAATCCTTTTGTGTGCAGATGTGTAGGAGAACCAACAGGTAACCTGTAAGCTCTTTGAGACAGGGTCTGTGTCTTACTTTCTTTTCTTTTTTTTTTTTTTTTGAGATGGAGTCTCACTCTGTTGCCCAGGCTGGAGTGTGGTGGCGCAATCTCGGCTCACTGTAACCTCTGCCTCCTGGGTTCAAGCAATTCTACCGTCTCAGCTTCCCAAGTAACTGGGATTACAGACACATGCTACCACACCCAGCTAATTGTTGTATTTTTAGTAGAGACAGAGTTTCACCATGTTGGCCAGGCTGGTCTTGAACTCCCACCTCAGGTCATCTGCCCACCTCAGCCTCCCAAAGTGCTGGGATTACAGGCATGAGCCGCCCAGCCTATGGGTCTTACTTTCTTAGTACCTTTTGTAATTTAATTTTTCTTGAATAGATAATATAATTCTTGTGATTCAAAATCTTCTTCTCCCTCCTGCCCTCATCCACTCAGTTTCAACTCCAGCCCCATCCCAGGCATTCTGTCACTGGTGTCTTAAATCAGCTTCTAGAGTTTCTTTATGCTTATGCACATATGAATCAATTCTTATACTCTGCCATCCCACTCTTCTTCATAATAAGAATTATTATACAGCACCTAATTTTCTGCTTATTTCTCCTCGTGATATATCTCAGTGATACTTTCATATCTGTGGATAGAAAGCATCTTTATTCTTGAATAGCTTCATAGAATTTCATAGTGTGGGTGTACCATAATTTATTTAGCCAGTCCTTATCAATGGTGATCTGGGTTGTTTCCAATCTTTTGCTGTTACTTCAATATTGCTTCAATGAATAACTTTGTTCATATGTTATTTTGTGCACATATAAGCATATTTATAGAATAAATTCCCAGAAATGGAATTGTAGATCATAGAGCTTATTCATTTATAATTTTGGTAGGTTTTACTCAGTTGTCCTCAATCAGGATTGTATGAGTTTATATTATCACTAGGAATGTATTAGGGTACCTGTTTCTCTATTGGTTCACCAACAAAGTACATAAGTAATCAAATTGTTGGAGTTTTGCCAAGCTGATGGGTGAAAAATGGCATCATAGTATATGTATTTTAATTTTTATTTCTTTTATACATTTAAGAACCATTGAATTTCTTTTTCTGTGAATGCTGTAATATTTCTTTTTCCATTTTTAATGGACTTTATTCTTACCTATTCTCATGGTCCTTTTTCCTACAGATTTTGATAGTTCTTTATGTATTATGAAGATAAAGTTTTTATGGCATGAGTGAAAAATTTTTTTGCTGTTTATTACTTGTCTTTGACTCTGCTTATGGGTTTCTTTTTGCTAGGAAGAAGTTATTTTCATTTTAACGATTTCTTATGTAGTCATATTTATCAATTTTTACAAAATGCCTTTTAGATTTTTAAGCATAGTTAGAAAAGACATCTTCCACTCTAACTTGGTATCCTTAACATAGTGCCAAGAGCAGTTTATTTCTTATTTCTTTTTGTTTGTTTGTTTGAGACGGAGTCTCGCTCTGCCGCCCGGCTGGAGTGCAGTGGAGCGATCTCGGCTCACTGCAAGCTCCGCCTCTCGCGTTCCCGCCATTCTCCTGCCTCAGCCTCCCGAGTAGCTGGGACTACAGGTGCCCGCCACCACGCCCAGCTAATTTTTTGTATTTTTTAGTAGAGACGGGGTTTCACCATGTTAGCCAGGATGGTCTCGATCTCCTGACCTCGTGATCCACCTGCCTCGGCCTCCCAAAGTGCTGGGATTACAGGTGTGAGCCACCACGCCCGGCCAGTTTATTTCTTAAAAATGTTATAATTAATAGGTAACCGAGGCCCTTCTCCATGTATTTTTATTCTAAAATCTCTGCTTCCCCCTCCCTCCACCTTCAAATTAGGCAGTTTGATCAGGTGAGTAACAGTAACTCATACTCAGGTGTGACTAACTGGTGAATTAACTTTCCCAAAAGACATTTCTATTTTAAATAAGGAGCTGAGTCAATTGAACTGACTTTCAAATTGCTGGAAGTTGGAAAACTTGGGAAAGCCATCAGGGACCCTCTGTAAGTGGCAATGATGGCTGTTCCATACTCCTGGCTCCTGTGTCCTCATCCCACCAGTATAGGATCCCGAGAAAAACTCCTCTTGGGACGGGAAATGATTCTTCCATTTTGGACTCCATTTCTGAACATAGTAGCTGTGATGTTTATATGGGCTGGTGTCAGTTGGAAAGTAGGGAGGTTGGGCAGCATTGGGTAAAATGATTAAACTGAATTTGTCTTTTACCTTGCGATCTGTCTGTCTCCCTCCTCCTCCTTATCCTCATCCTTTCCCCTAGTCCGGGGGCCCAGTGGAAGTTACTGGATAAGAGTTGCATGGCGGTAAGACAATTTTGTGGAGTTCTACTAAGGAAGGAAACTCCATATTCATCTGGGCCCATAGTCTGTCACTAATTGGCAGTATGATTGTATAAATGTTGCTTGATCTCCCTGCCCTCAGTTTACTGACTTTATAAAATGAGAGGGAAGGACATTAAAGACCTTAAAATGTTCAGGCTTCCAAGTCTGGCAGTTCAAGGTACTTGAGTTCTCTTGGCTGAAGGTGGGTGGGAAGGAAGTTTAAAGTCCTCCCAGATGCCTCATGCTCTTGTTCCTCAAACCTTACCCCTTGATGACCCCAGAGGGCTTAATCAGTCTCCACATCTGCTTCCACTCCCTGTCCCCTACCTCCAGTTCCCTCACTGAGGCTGAGCCTCAGTAGAGCCAGATGCAGGCATACCTCAGACATATTGTGAGTTCAATTTCATATGACCACTATGAAACTAATATTGCAGTAAAGTGAGTCACGGAAACCTTTTGGTTTTCCAGTGCATATAAAATTATGTTTACATTATACCATACTTTATTTAGTGTGCATAGCATATTTTATTAAGTGTGCAATAGCATTATGTCCAATAAACAATGTACATATCTTAATTAAAAAATACTTTATTGCCAAAGGATGCTAATGATCATCTGAGCCTTCAGAGAGTTGTAATCTTTTTGCTGGTGGAAGGTCTTGCTTGGATATTGATGGCTGCTGACTGATCAGGGTGTTGGTTGCTGAAGGCTAGGGTGGCTGTGGCAATTTCTTAAAATTATACAACAATAACACTTGCTGCATCAATTGACTGTTCCTGTCATGGAAGATTTCTTGGTAGCATGCAATGCTGCTTTATAGCATTTTACCCATAGTAGAACTTTCAAAATTGAAGTCAATCCTCTCAAATCTTGCTGCTGCTTTATCAACTAAGTTTATGATTTTTATTTATGTTCTATATCCTTTGTGGTCATTTCGACAGTGCTCACAGCATCTTCACCAGCAGTAGATTCCATCTCTCTTTCTTTCTTTTTTTTTTTTGAGATGGAGTCTTGCTCTGTTGCCCAGGCTGGAGTGCAGTGGCATGATCTCAGTTCACTGTAACCTCCGCCTCCCAGGTTCAAGTAATTCTCTTGTCTCATCCTCTCAAATAGCTGGGATTACAGGCGTTCACAACCACGCCCAGCTATTTTTTTTTTTTTTGTATTTTTAGTGGAGACGGGGTTTCACCATGTTGGCCAGGCTAATTTTGAACTCTTGACCTCAAGTGATTCACCCACCTTGGCCTCCCATAGTGCTAGGATTACAGGCATGAGCTATTGTGCCTGACAGTAGATTCCATCTCAAGAAACTGCTCTCTTTGCTCATTCATAAGAAGCAACTCCTCATCTGTTAAAGTTTTATCATGAGATTATAGCAATTCTGTCACATCTTTGGGGTCCACTTGTAATTCTATTTCTCTTGTTATTTCTATCTCATCTGCAGTGACTCCCTCCACTGAACCCCTCAAAGTCATCCATGAGGATTAGAACCAACTTCTTCCAAACTCCTGTCAATATTAATATTTTGACCTCCTATGAATCACAATTGTTCTTAATAGCATCTAGAATGGTGAATCCTTTCCAAAAGGTTTTCAATTTACTTTGCCCAGGTCCATGAGAGGAATTAACAGACATGAAAACATTAATTTCCGTGTCTGCTAACACAACATCCATTCTGCAGCCCATGGATCAAGGAATAATTTTGACTTTCAGGTCTTAGTCTTTAAGAAATGTAATCCCAGCTACTCAGGAGGCTGGGGCAGGAGAATCGCTTGAACCCAGGAGGCAGAGGTTGCAGTGAGCCGAGGTCATGCCATTGCACTCCAGCCTGGGCAACAGAGCAAGACTCTGTCTTTACAAGAAAATAAAATAAAATAAAACATTAATTTCCTTGCACATCTCTATCAGAGCTCTTGGGTGACTAAGTGCTTTGCCAATGAGCAGTAATATGTTGAAAGGAGTCTTTTTTTCTTAGGAGTAGATCTCAACAGTGGGCTTAAAATATTCAGTAAAACATGGTATAAACAGATGTGCTGTCATCTAGGCTTTATTGTTCTTTTTCTGGATCCCAGGCATATTATATTTAGCATAATTCTTAAGGGCCATAGGATTTCAGAATGATAAATGAGTATTAGCTTCAATTTAATGTCACCAGCTGCATTAGTCCTTAATAAGGGAGTCAGCCAGTCTGTTGATGCTTTGAAACCAGGCATTGGCTGGGTGTGGTGGCTCACACCTGTGACTCCAGCACTTTGGGAGGCTGGGGTGGGCAGATCACCTGAGGTCAGGAGTTTGAGACCAGCCTGGCCAACATGGTGAAACCCCATCTCTATTAAAATACAAACATTAGCCGGGCATGGTGGTGCACATCTGTAGTCCCAGCTACTTGAGAGGCTGAGGCACGAAAATCGCTTGAACCTGGGAGGCAGAGGTTGCAGTGAGCCAAGATCACACCACTGCACTCCAGCCTGGGTGACAAGAGTGAGACTCTGTCTCAAAAAAAAAAAGAAACTAGGCATTGACTTCTCCTCTGCAGCTGTGAAAGCCCTAGATGACATCTTCTTCCAGAATAAGACTGTTTCATTTACGTTGAAAATCTGTCTAGTGCAGCCACCTTCATCAATAGTCTTAGCTAGATCTTCTGGATAACTCATAGCTTCTCTATCAGCACTTGCTGCTTCACCTTGCACTTTTATGTTACAGAGATAGCTTTTTTCCCTTAAACCTCATGAAACAACCTCTGCTAGCATCAAACTGTTCTTCTGTAGATTCCTTACCTCTCTCAGCCTTCACAGAATTGATGAGAGTTAGGGCCTTGGTCTGGATTAGGCTTTGGCTGAAGGAAATGTTGTGGCTGGTTTGACCTATTCAGACCACTCAGCATTTTCCATATCAGCGGTAAGGCTGTTTCGCTTTCTTATTCATGTGTTCACTGGAGTAGCACCTTTGATTTCCTTCAAGAACTTTCCCTTTGCATTCACAACTTGGCTAACTGTGGTGCAAGAGGCCTGGCTTTTGGCCTATCTTGGCCCTTGACATGCCTTCCTCACTAAGCTTAATCATTTGTACCTTTTGATTTAAAGTGCGAGATGTATAATCTTCCTTTACTTGAACACTTAGAGGCCATTGTAGGGTTTTTAGTTAGCCTAATTTCAATATTGTTGTGTCCCAGAGAATAGGGAGGCCTGAGGAGAGGGAGAGCGATAAGGAAACAGAGAAGTCTAAACATGCAATGTTTGTCAATTAAACTTGCCACCTTCTGTGGGCATGGTTGGTGGCACCCCCAAACATTTACAAAACTAACATCAAAGATCTTTGATCACAGATTTACAAAAGTTTGAAATATTTTGATTATGATCAAAATGTAAGACAAGGAATGAGCATGCACTGTTGGAAAAATGACACAAACTTGTTCTACACAGGGTTGCCACAATTTGTAACAAACACACTATTTGTGAAGTACAATAAGCAGAGCACAAGAAAACAAGATATGCCTGTAATCCTGTGATGTGCAATAAAATCAGGTATGCCTGTAATCATTCGTTTATGTATTTGTGAGTAGTCTACGCACTTCATTGCATTTATTAATTTGTAATTTCACTGGGCTACAATTAGTGACTGAAAGTTTCAATAAGACTATCAATCCCATTAGTATACTTTGTGCTTGAATATTTAAAAAATCTTTTTTTAAAGAAAGAAATAATTTTATGGGGTCTTGGCTGCTGGTCTCTTCCCTCTTATTTACCTCCCGGTCTTGCAGAGATTCAGTGCTGCTGATGCTATAGCTTCAAGTTACAGAGCGTTTTTGTAACAGTGGGTTTAATAAATAAGCTGCATCTATTTTGTTTATATGTCAGCTCTTGAGTTCCTGGGAAGCCATGAAGACAAAGAGTTGCTGCAGTTATCTGTGACTATTTCCCATAGAGGCGGGGAAGGCCGGTTCTTGGCACTGGCTATAAGGCCTTTGACACTATGAATCCTGTAGGAGAAGTAGAGTAGGAAAGTTGAGTTTTGCCTGCTCTGCTCCAGTCTTGTTGGTGTGGAATATTTCCAAGGTTAGGATTAGGATAGCAGGTACCTCTGAAAGAGAAAAGTTTTCCCCAACGTCACTGGCCAATTGGGTTTCCTGGTTTTGCTGCCTAAATCCATAGACTTTAAGCCAATGAACTCTTCTGTGCAAAACAAGGCTTTGGTCTTGTAGGAGGCAGCCCCCGTGAGTTCCTGTGGTGCCAGGATTCTGTTCCTAGATATATGCACCCATTCTCTAGAACTGAGACTCTGCTGTGGGGTCTGTCTCCAGATCTTAGGCTTGAGGGGAGAATATGCTGGTGGCCCCTCTCTGACTTCCCCAGAAAGAAGGGAGGAGGGGATGTACCTAAGGGGGCAGATTTGTGCTTAAGTGATAGCAGGACCCAAAGAATACACCCCTTCCTGGACAGAAACAGAATGATTGCCACAAGGATGGATTATGGCTGGCATTTCAGTGGCTGAAATTTACAAATCACATTGGGAACACGAGAGATTATTATCTCCCAACAAGTCTGGGGCAAAGTCCCTTTGACACACATGCATATAGGATGCCAGGCAAACAGCATCTCTTGTTGCTGGGTCTATAACTTCTCCCTGGATCCTCTTCAAATATTTGTTGAAGGCAGGTATTGGTGCGGCTGCAGGCCTGTGAACCATGGGGTGCTTCTGGAGATATTCTCAATGCAGAGAAACAGAGGTTATGTGAGGGCTGGGGTGTTGGTTTTTTCCCTCTGGCGGGCAAGTGGTAAAATCATCTGAAACTCTGTGTGCTGAGTAGCTTTAACCCAAGAGTTCAGAGGTTGATAGATTCCCTGACTCCTGTTCATAGGTAGCTTCAAAAACCTCAGAGCAAACCCTCAACTGGGTCTCTGCTTAGGGATGGATGAACAGACTGTCTCCAGGGTTAAGTATCTCTTCACCCAGAGAGTAAGTACATCCTGCTGAGGTATACAGAGTTAAATAATATCAAAACAGAACTTTGCAGGGCCTTTGCTAGCAAGTGTAATGTACACATAAAGTATGTAGTATTTCCCAACCCTACCTAACCTTGATCATAAACGTCTTTTTCTTTCTTTCTTTCTTTCTTTCTTTCTTTCTTTCTTTCTTTCTTTCTTTCTTTCTTTCTTTCTTTTTTTAAGGAGCATCACAAGGGGTTTATATTCTGCAAACCACATCTGGAAACAGCAATCTTGTCCACTTGGAGTGAATTAATGGTAGAGTCAAGGCTTCCTAACCCATGGGCTTTCCGCCTTCATTCTTGCTACTCAAAGTGTGGCCCGTGGACCATCAGCCTGGCCATCACCTGGGAATTGGTTAGAGGTGCAGAATCTCGGACCCCACCCTGGACCTACTGAATCAGAATCTGCATGTTAACGAGATCCCAGGTGGCAGGTTTGTACACTGAACACTGACATGCCCTGCCCTGCTCCGTGTTGCTGCCTTTCTGCTTCAGAACCTTCCAGCCCCCTGGACTTAGAGGTCCAAGGTGAGAGTCTCAGGGCAGTGACAACAATTGTGCTTGGTTTGGGTTTGGATAGGGGAGATTTCTGGGCCTTCTGGTCCTATTGAGGTGGCCTCTTCTTGGCTTCCAGGTGGAAGTAATAATTTATATTAGGGAGAGAAGCCAGCTCTATAAAAAGATTCAGAAGTAATAGAAAAAATTGTGAGGCCATGGGAAAAATAAAAAGCGATATATTAAGCCCAGAAGGATGAGGTCCCTGGGCGGGTAAGCACAGACAAAATTAGAAGGAATTTTAGGCAGATTTATGCCAAGGGCTGTGCTGTATGTGGAGAGGGTGGTGGAGTGATGCCCTAAGCCCTCCACCCTCATCCCCTCTGACAGGAGCCTGGGAGAGGAGCCCAAAAGACATCTTTTTTCAGCTGAGTGTAAGAAGTCCCTGCCAGATCAGATGTTCAACTTTAAAACAAATGGAGGAAAAACGATCAAATGCAGTCAACTAGAAAAATCCGCTTTTCCTATTTCATAAAAAGCAAGAGCCCGTATGATAATCCCTCCCTTGGCACATGTTAGAGATTTCTTTATTGTCTCTTTGCTTGCAGCCAATTCTGCCACACCTAGCTGGTGGCCTCGCTGCAGCGATTCGTTTGCACCAGGTCAGCACGCCGGTTCCAATCCAGTGGGTCTAGAGCTGGATTCTAGCATTTTCCAGGGAGAAGGGCCTGCCTACCTAGCTGTGTGGAAGGGCAGAGGAAAAGGAGGGTGAGCGGAGCACAGAGGACACATTGTTCCTTCCCTCCCCAGAAAACAGAGGTGTGGACTTCCTAATGTAGAGAGTGGAGGTGGCTGGGTCTGTCTCCCTCCCAAGTCATGGTTGAGATGCCTTAAGTGCCAGGATTGTAACTCTCCTGCTATGACCCAGAAATAAGCACAGCGCCTGGTATTTGCCCTAGAGATGCTTAATAATTATTTGCCGAATGAACTTTGACAAAACCAAAATCATTGAGGCAGCTATAGGGTAATAGTAATAGAAAGCTCATGAGACACGCTATCAGGAGATCCGGGCTTTGGGACCAAATGTTGCTGTGTGGCTCTGGACAAGCTGTTTATCTCTCTGAAACTTAGTTTATAACATGATGATTGCAGTGTTCATCTCCTGGAGGTGTGGGGAGGATTAAATGAGGTCGCATGTGAATGGCACATAATTAATGGGAAGGATTTAAATGTGAAAGGGGATTCCTTTCCCCCATACATTGTTATTCCCATGACACCTCCAGTTCATGCACTTACTGTAAGGAAAGGAAACAAAATTGAAGAATAAACTGTCACTCAGATATCAAGGAGGCTTAGACGTGAAGTCTCCATAAGAATTCAGCTAAGAACTCAGAGCTGGGTGCGGGCGACTTTGGAGTCAGTCTTGGCTCCTCTTACCCTCACATTCCTCATTCAATCCTTTGGCCAATCCTGATTTGGGTACTCTAATGGCCTCTTCTGCCACACCCTGATCCAAGCTACTATTATATTTCACCTGGATTCCTACAATAACCTCTTGACTGGCCTCTCTGCTTCCTATCTTGTACCATTTAAGTCTATCCTCAACACCCAGAATGATGCTGATGAAGCATAAATCTCTTCATGTCACTCCTCTACCCAGAAACCTTCCGTGCTTTCTCATCTTATTTGGAATAAAAGCCAAAGTTCCTACAGTAGCCTCAGACATCCCCACTCCTTGATCTTGGCGTCTCTGGCCACTCCACTTCTGTTTCACTCTGCCCTAGCCACCCTGGCCTTGGAGGTCATTGACTGTGCCAGGCATGTTTATGCCTCAGGACCTTTGCACCTGCTGTCCTCTCTACTTGAAAACCTCCCTCCTCCATTGTTCCCTTACCATCTTCATATCTTTGCTTACTGTCACCTTCATGTGAGGCCTTCTCTGACATTCCTATTGAAAGTCACTCTTCCCATCTCCCACCTGATACTTCCTAGCTCCCTTTTCTATTTCTCTCCATCATACTTATGACCATGTAATATACCTTATATTTTACCTCTTTGTCTGTTTCCTCTACTAGGAGTTACACCCTGTGAGCATTTTGTTCGTTGCTGCATCATCCACTCCCAGCTCATTGCCCATTACAATAGTTGAAATATTTGTTGAATAAATAACATTAATTAATAAACTCTTCAGGCTTTGCCCTTATAGAATCTTGTCTTGAGGCTTGGGTCAGAGGTGTGGGGTGCAAAGGTCCCGGGCTTATTTGGGGGATACTGCAGATCTTATCCTGAGTGAGGCAGCTTCTGTAAGATGTTATAAAGTAGGTATTGGTGTTCTGTTTGCTTGGTTTGTCTCAAGGGCTTCTGGGTGAGGAATATGTCATTGGGTGGAATTTATTACATTGCCCTAGCAACTGCTTCCTGAGTTTCTATTTTCTGAAAACTTGCTAATTTCTCTTATGTTTCTCTTTGTCTTACCCTCCCTTCCTCTTTTTCTTCCTCTACCTTCCACCCCTCATTTAATAGGCATCTCTGTGTTGGTCTCTCACCTACCACCCAGGCTACGGATGGGAACTGAAACAGATGCCTACTTATTTGGTTTTCAAAGTATTGCTCCTGCAAGCCCCTCATTCGTACTCTTTCCAGCCCAGTGGCACTGGGCATGATGAGCTCTACCCACAACTCCAGAGAATCTGCATCCTGACTCCTTAGAAGCCCCCACTTGGAAGTGCTTTGGGCCTTGTGGTCCAAACAAAGAACAGCTCTCACTGATACTAGCAGGCTCGCTTGAGACAACTTCTGGTTTCCAACATGCACCTGCATCCCTTGGCTTCGGGCTTGAGGCTTAGCTTATTAGCTCTGTGTCTTCAGCAAATTACCCTACCTCTCTGAGCTTCAGTCTGTCACTTTATCTAAAATGGGGCAATATAGCCTACCTCATGGGGTTGCTCTGAGGACCGGGTGAGAACCTGTATGTTTAGCACTTGGTATAGACCTGGCATGCAGGAACCATTCACTGAATTGTAGCTTCTATTAGTGTTGCCATTATTGTGTTGTTGTCACTGATACAATCGACTCCATAGCTTATCTGTCCAATTAAACAGCCCCTGTGTGTGTGTGTGTGTATGTGTGTATGTATGTATGTGTGTGTGTAGGTAGGTAGGTAGGTGTGGGGAAATTTACAAGTTGTCATTGTAAATTCATCAAGAAATAAATAGGAGATTTATAGCTTGAGGTGATTAATTCTGCAGCTTTTCCCAGCATCATCTCAGTTCCAGAACAAATACATCCCTATAAGGGATATAATCTTTAGGTATTTGGAATATAAAACAGCCTCTTGGGTTCCCTGTTGTGTTATGAGAAAACAATAACAGTTTAAAATGCAACCCACAGGCAGGCCTCTGGATGGAGTCAGCTCTCCTGCTATTGGCCCGTGATGGCCTTCAATGAAAAGTTGGTGAAACATATATTCTTATCCTCCCCCACGGTGTCACAAGAAGGGAAAACAGAATCTAAGTGCAGGGGCCAACCTTGACAGTGGCAGCAGTAAAAGGCTTTCAAGTTAGATGGAAATATTTTCTTTCTTCTCTCACCTGGCGAACTTCCATTTAGCATGCAAGATCCGGATCCGATGACCGACCCTCCCAGGCAGAAGAAATCACCCTCTCCTTTGTCCTCTGTGGCCCTGGGTTCATGTCTCTCTCACTCTGTGTCTTACCTTATATTGCAATCCTGTTTCTAGGTCTCCATCAAGCTCTGCAAGGCAGGCAGATCCTTGTGGGCAGGGCTGAGGTTTGGGGTAACTTTGTGTCCCCAGGGCCCTACACATGGCCTGGCACTGCAGTATGGGATTGGGGACAACATTGATCGACTTCCTACCACATTCCTGTGAACTTGGCATATGTTACATTACTGAATTCTCACCACAGTCCTATGAGGGAGTTCGTACACAGGAGCAAACTGAGGCTCAGAAATTGTGTGCAAACTGCAATGCTTTACTAATACATTTGCAGAGATAGGATTTGAAGTTGGATCTGATGTCAAAACCTTTGCCTGCTTGCTTCCTTTCTTTCAATCTCTTTCTTTCTCTATTTCTTTTTCTTTCAGTGGAGTGAGTGGTTAAGGGCATGGCCTCTGGGGCCGACTGCTTGGATTCCCGTCTCAGCCTCATCATTCACATGCTGTGTGACTTTGGACATGTTACTTAGCTTCTCTCTGTCTCAGCTTCTCCATCTATCAAGTTGGATAACAATAGGACTTCCCTATAGGCTTGTGGTGTGGATGAAATAATATAAAATAAAGACCTTAGAACAGTGTTTGGTAGTATGCAAATCTTTGCTATTACTAATATAATTCCCCCACCCAAGTCATATCATACATGCTTTCCGTAGCTGCCCGTGTTCTTTCTGTGCCACGCTACCTCTGGTGTTGAATGAATGACTTAGGATGATGGCTGAGTGTGTCCAGCAGACAGCTGGGTTCTCCTCCCAGTGGGTCTACCAGGTGGCTTTGGATACACACTCATCTGATATTTCACCCTGTGCCTTTTGTCTCTCCTGGCTTCAGAGGGTTCTTGAGAATCATTTGAAAGCTCTGGGAGGTCCTGGCCGAGTATGAGAACTTGGCTTAGCACATAGCCTCCAGTGTGGCTTTCTAAAACATACCCCTGAGTTTAACATTCCCCCAAACTGACACCTCCTTCTTAACAGTGTAACAAGAGGCAGCGTGCACAGAGGTTCGAAATGAGGCCACTGGAACCAGATTGCCTGGGTTCAAATCTTGTCTCTTCCACTTGGTGGCTGTGTCATCTGAAACAAGTTATTTAATCTCTATGAACCTCTGTTTTCTCATCTGTAAAATAGAGGTAATGATAATAAGGTACCGTATAGGATGTCATTGTGAGTATCAAATGAAATACCCATAAAATGCTTAGGAGAGCAATTGGAATATTGTAAGAGCTCTGTAGGTGTTGATTGTCATTGTTGTTATTATTGTCATTACTGGGGAAGATCCTGGTAGATTTACTGCATGGACAAGCAGAGAAAAATCTGTGTCTAGAAGTCAGGGTTCTCTATAAATGAGAGAGAGACAGGGTGGGGTGACTGGAATGAAACATCTTCAATTCCTTCTCCCACACTCACTGATCACATAAGTCATGACTCTGGAAGGAAGGAACAGGGAGTAGGGGCAGAGAGAAAGGGGCGGAGAGCATTCTTTTACTCTGTGGAAATTTGATGCCTTGGAGCCAGGGTTCTCCCAACATCTACCATGGACCTCGTGCTGTGCTTGATCACAAAGGGAATACAGCAGTAATAGTTCTCTGTTCTCATGGGGCTTGCATGAAGTGCAAAGTTACTCTTGCTTTAAGTCATTCTTTATATATATATATATATATATACACACACACACACACACACACACACACACATATATATATATTATACTTTAAGTTCTAGGGTACATGTGCGCAACGTGCAGGTTTGTTACATATGTATACATGTGCCATGTTGGTGTGCTGCACCCATTAACTCGTCATTTACATTAGGTATATATCCTCTGACTTTGGAAGAATGTAATTAAACCTAATGAATGACCTGACCCAGGCAGGAGACCTGAGCTATGGAAAGCCTGGTTTGTTGTCACTTGCCTGGCTTGGGTATCTTATGGTTCTCTTCATTATTCATTCTGCAGATCTGCCTCTGAGGATGAGGAGGTCCAAGGACCTCAGAGGGGCCTAGGACAGACACTGACTTCACGGCTTCAAGTACGAGCAGGGGCGGCACTGCAGGTGGAACTGGCCCCCTCTTCTCAGCCGGTGTATGAATCACCAGGGAGGGAAGGAGGGACTAGGACTTATTATATCCAGGCCAATTATGAATGGTATTTCTACTGTACAGATGAGGAAAGTGAGGCTCGGTGGGGGGTTAAGCAGCTGAGCTCCAGGGATCTTACCCAAGGTCACTCAGCTATGACACTAGAGTTAGGATTAAACCTGGGTCTGCCTGATGCCAGAGCCACGCCCTTCCTACTGTGTCACCTTTGCTTTTCTAGAAAGAGACACTTCCCCAGCGGTCCCTGTACTATATGCAGGAATGGCAATTATTACACGTAACAGCGTTGCTCATAGTAATCAATTAAGCAACGAATTTTTTTGTTCTCATTGGCCTGAATGGAAGCATATGTGGGCAAAGTCAAGTCACTTTCACCTTAAGAAATGTAATAATAGTGACTCTAAAATATGTTGTGTGTATTTGTGTGAGGAAGCTCTCACTTTCCCATTCTCCATCTGGCGTGCATGCATTCACTGTGGCTGGTCCAGTAACAGAGGTGGTTTTGCAGGAACAATGACAAAGGGACCTACTGAGTTCCAGGTTACTGCTTGTGTTGGCAGAAAAGATGTGCAGCTAGTGTGAGAATTCACTTGCCATCTGATTTAATGTACTAGCTACAGTGGAAGGATGGCCCTCACTCACATAGAATGATGTACAGTTGCAAGCACCCTAGAGTGGCCCATTGGCAGCTATGAGGCTGGAGTGGCCCATTGGCAGCTATGAGGCCTGTAAATTCCAGGCCATTTACAATGATTTGGAACATAATTACAAAGTATCAGCCCTGTTCAAGCCACTCTGCTTGGGCTGTGTTGTGGGTAGCATGGTCTAGATTCTCTAGTATCCCAGGAATTTTTGGCAGGAAGAAAAGAGTGAGCCAAGACTGGCTGGGGAGAGTAGTGCTACCAGCACTTAAATTGTCAAACATCCAGGGCTTAGAATATTGGCTCTCAAACTTGTGTGTCCAAAAACATTCTCTAGGAAACTTGTTAAAAACGCAGATGTCTAGGCTCCACATTGAGAAGGTCCAGGGTGGACCTGGAAATCTGCATGTATGAAGTATCTCTGGTGATTCTGATGTGGATGCCTCATGGACCACTTTGAGAACAGTGGCTCAAGGTCTGAGGATGGCTGGCATCAAAATCCTAGAAGAGGCCAGCCATGGTGCTCACACCTGTAATCCCAGCACTTTGGGAGGCTGAGGTCGGAGGATTGCTTGAGGCCAGGAGTTTGAGACCAGCCTGGGCAACATAGACCCAGTCTTTACAAAAAATTCAAAAATTAGCCAGGTTTGGTGGTGTGTGCCTGTAGTCCCAGATACTGGGGAGGCTGAGGTGGTAGAATCGCTTGAGCCTGGGAGGTTGAGGCTGCAGTGAGCTGTGAACACGCCACTGCATTCAGCCTGGGGAACAGAGTGAGACCCTGTCTCAAAAAGAAAAAAAAAAATTCCTAACAGCTGAACTTCTGATGTGGGAGCAGCCAGCACTAAGGGTCATAGGACAGCAGAGTGGCCAGGGGCCTCAGGCCTCCAGGCTGGGGTACAGGACTGGGCTTCAGTCCCAATTGGTGAACGGAGCAGCAAGGAGGAGCAGGGCAGAAGGTGACACAAAGCAGCTGGTCACATGGTGGAGTTAGACAAGAAGGTTTCAACCCACAGCTCATGAGGGTTTGCAGGGGTCAAATTCATCTCTGGTACCTTGAACATGGAACATGGAATCCGTAGACACTGATGGAGAAGCTGTCACCGTGTAGCTCATGGCAAACGGCCAAGAGACTAGGGTTTGGGATAGTGGTGTGGAAGATCCCTGGAGGAAGGGGGTGCTATAGTTGACTTAAAATTTGTTGGTGGCTTTCCATCACACTTAGAATGTAGCTTGCAGTAACCTGGCCCCTGCCAACCTCCCCAGTCTCCTTTGGGTCTTTGTCCCTCTCAGTGTTCCAGCCAAACTTTGAAAACATGTTTTTTTTATAGACACCAAGGTTGTTCCCCTCAAGGTCCTTCCCCAGTCTGTTCCCTTTGCCTGGAGACCCTCTTCCTCCCTTTTCACCTACTCATTATTAAAGGGCTGATGACATGCATGTCTATCCCTCTTCCCACATGCTCATTCCCAGCCCCTTCAAAAGCAACTAAAGGAGGCACAAGTCTCCTCCGTAAGGTGAGTTCTCTGCCGCTTGCCAGGGCCTGTCCTAGGGGACTCCTGTAGCTTTCACTTCTGTGCCTGGACATAGAATTTAGAGTATCAGGGGAGAGTGCATAGGATCCACTTAAAACTGTTGCAGTCTTGGGAAGGGTGGTGAGGCAGAGGCCAACTGCACTCTCCCTGCTGAGGAACCAGAGATGTCTCAAGGATTGGTCAAATTTGGGGGACATTTGGCTCCAGTTGCACTGTGCCTGTAAGTCCAGAAATGGTGTGTGGTTAGGAGTCAGGAGCAGAGAATGAGGAAGGGTTGGAGATTAACAGAGGCTAACTCTAACATCCTGTATCCCTAGTAACTGCCAGCACATACCTTTACTTCCTTACATACACACACGTACAAAGTGCTCCTTGATTTGTGTGTGTGTGTGAGTATATACAACATACAAAGGAGTAAGAGAGGCCAGGAAACATGCCAGGAGCTTTGGGAATGTCCCAGTAGTTCTGAGTGAATCAATAAGCAGGTTGTCCTCCTGGTCACTGTTAACTAGCTGGCTGTAGGTTATTTATTCGATGGTGTCACCATCCACTGGCTTAACCAGATCCGTGATGGAACAGGCAGTACATCTTCACAAGTCCTCTTATGCTTGCAAAAGGGACAGGTAAACAATGTTTCTGAGTGTGTATCATCTCTTTGGAGACTGGCTCCTGCTTTGTCTTTCTGTACTCTAATTTCTCAGGAGGTCAGACCCACCGCTGCCTCCCTCACCACCTCTGGAGCCTTTCATGACTCCCTGTCTTGAGTGGTAAAGGCCAACTCACTTTTCAGCTCTCAGTTCTGATGTCGCTGCTCCAGAGATGGCCTCCTGACCTCCCATTCCAAAGGAGGTGGCTTAATAATTCTCCCTCCATTTTTCTCCTGACTAACCCTTCTTGCATTTATGGGTAGGCCATTATTGCATTTATGGATATTACTTTATATTATTTGTATATTTCTTTATCTCTCTCTGTCACTAGACTGTAAATATCACATCTGCCTTGTTCATCCACTGCTTCCCCAGCGCTTTGGGAGAGGCAATGTGCTTCTCAGTCATTCTTTGCTGAATGAAAAAATGGATGAATGAATACAGAGTTGGTTCTTAGAGAATCAATAGGGCTTTGATGGAAGACAGTCAGGAAGTCATTAAAGACAAGTGAAGTAACATGAGTAAAATTTCAGAAACGGGAAGTGATGTGTGACGTCTTTGGGATACGTTGGGTGAATCTGTTGGTTAGAGCACAGGGCTTGTTGGGGGTGGAGTGGAAAGGCAGACTGGGCCCAACACACAGGGTTTTAATTCTGAGCTAAGGAGATGTGACTTCATACATTAGGCCATAGAAAGCCACTGGAGGTTTCTGAGCAGGGGAGTGATAAAGACAGTGGGGAGATGGCTCGAATGGTGGTATCCTGGGTGGATCCAGAGGGAAAATCCAGAGGTGGGAAGGGCAGGAGGAGGCTGTTGCAGCAGCCCAGGCAGAAAGTGATCGAGTCTTGAACCAGAGCAGTGACAGTGGGAGGGGAGGGGAGAAACAGATGCGAGAGACATTGGGAAGGAAGAAATGGCAGACTCCAGAGGCTGATTGGATGTGGGGGCGAGGGATTTTCTCAGCCTTTCAAGGGAAAAATGCCACCTCCATCCTCCTGCTAACTTCAGCTCAATGGCAGGAGTGTATCAGTGACAAAGAGCTGGCGTGATCAGTGCCTGGAAGCATCTGTAGAAAGTCATGAAGTCACATGCCTGTAGGCAGCTGAATGTGAATGGGAAAAAAATTTGTGTCACTAAATGGTCCTCTTGCAAAATGTGAAAGGAAATGAGCATTTATTTTAAAAAAATCTGCTGGGAGCACCATGCCCCATCTCTTCCAGTGGCTGAATTGCTCCGGAGGAGTTGCTCCCACCCACCTGGCTGTGGTATGGGCTGCATGTCCTTGAAAAAAGGATTAAAATAATGGCCAGAAGCAGCCCCAGGAAGGTTTCCTTCAAGCTTTTTTGCTCATTAGATCAGCCTGAACTTCAGCCATGTCTGAGGCGGGACATGCTGTTCTGCTAAAATATACAGACGGCTTTCAGAGAGATTTAAAAATGGAATTTATTAAAGCAACAGTTGGACAATTCCATAACAGTGGCCCCACTAACTGTAAATTTCTGCAGTCACTTGATCATTCTGCACCTCCATCTCCTCACTTGTCAAGATAAGGGCCTGGACAAGATAGAAACTCCATTGTTTCTCCCTGGGCTAACATTCTATGCTTCCGTGTGCCTGATGGAACCTATTGAGGGTGGCTTCAATCAGAATGAGGTTGAAAGGAGGGAGGTCTTACAGATTTTTTATTTAGCTGCCAAGTATTTGGAGTCAAAGCTTTTGGGGGAACAGCTTTTTCCTCACTGAGCTCCAGTATTAAATACTATCCTCTGCCTGCCCCTCATTACTTTTCCATTAAACAGAGCTACTTGCTGATAGATCACCTGGTTTTTAGGCTGAGGATATTTTATATTCATCTTCAACTGGGTGGTATATAGGGTTAATATAATTTTGACATAATTTATATTCATTGGAGTCATTTGCTGTTCATTAGACAAGCAATAGAGCATCATGGTTAAGAAGCTAAGGCAGGGGAGATGCAGAGATATTGGTTAAAGGGTACAAAGTTTCAGTTATAAAAAACAAATTCTGGAGATTCAATGTACAATATGGTGATGATAGTTAACAAAACTTTGCTGTATTCTTGAAATTTGCAAGTGTTTTCATCGTTCATATATAAAATACAATGGGAGGTGATAGATGTTAATTAGCTTGAGCATGGTGATTATTTCACATTATATATCAAACATCAAGTTGTGTACCTTAAATATATGTAATTTTTATTTGTCAGTTACACCTCAATAAAGCTAAAAAGCAATAAAACAAAACAGAAGCCAAGGAAGTAGGTAAGCTATGAAGTGTGAAGCTGGGGTTTGAACTCAGGAAGTCTAACCAGGAGGACCCTGTTCTACATGCTATTTTTTTTTTTTTTTTTTTTTTTGAGACAGCGTCTCGCTCTGTCGCTGAGGCTGGAGTGCTGTGGCGCGATCTCCGCTCACTGCAACATCTGTGCCTCCCGGGTTCACACCATTCTCCTGCCTCAGCCTCCCGAGTAGCTGGGACTACAGGCAACCGCCACCATGCCCGGCTAGTTTTTTGTATTTTTAGTAGAGATGGGGTTTCCACCGTGTTAGCCAGGATGGTCTCAATCTCCTGACCTTGTGATCCACCTGCCTCAGCCTCCCAAAGTGCTGGGATTACAGGTGTGAGCCACTGCGCCCAGCCTCTACATGCTATTTGATGCAGGTACCTTTTTATTAGTGTGCTCAGGCTGCCCTAACAAAATACCATAGATTGGGTGGCTTAAACAACATAAGTCATTTTCTTACAGTTCTGGAGGCTAGAAGTCCAAGACCAAGGTGTCATCAAGTTTGGTTTCTCCTGAGGCCTCGCTTGTTGGCTTGCAGGCCATCTTCTCTCTGTGTCCTTTCCTGGCCTTTCCTCTGTATGAACATAGAGGGAGAGAGAGCTGTTTTCTCTTCCTCTTCTTTCTTCTTCTTCTTCGTCTTCGTCGTCTTCTCCTTTTTTTTTTTTTTGTAACAGAGTTTTTGCTCTGTCACCCAGGCTGGAGTGGAATGGCACGATCTTGGCTCTCTGCATCCTCTGCTTCCTGGGTTCAAGTGATTCTCCTGCCTCAGCCTCCTGAGTAGCTGGGATTACAGGCGCCTGCACCACACCGGGCTGATTTTGTATTTTTAGTAGAGATGGGGTTTCACCATGGTGGCCAGGCTGGTTTTGAACTCTTGACCTAGGTGATCCGCTTTGGCCTCCCAAAGATTGCAGGCGTGAGCCACCATGCCGTCCTCTCTTGCTCTTTTTATAAGGACACCAATCCCGTTGTATTAGGACCCTACTCATATGATCTCGTTTAATCTTAACCACCTCCTTAAAGGTCCTGTCTTTAAATATAGTAACATTGGGAGCAGAGCTTCAAAATATGGATTTTGGGGAATCACAGCTCAGTCCCTAACAACCTTTCTCATGGATTCATTGAGAAGATGAAATGAGATTGCATGTGAAAAGGATGTTATGAGGACAGTATCTGGCATACAGTTACTGCTCAGAGCTGCTGCTCTTGTTATTATCATTACTACCTTTTGATGTGGACACAGGGAAGGGACTAAAACTCTTCCAAGGTGCTAAGAACCCCCAAGGAGGGTGGGTTTCCTCTTCTTTCCATCCTTACCACCTAAGCCACCAATATCTCTTGCCCGGAGTCCTGTAACAGACTCCTGTTCTTCCTGGCTCCTGACGTCTTCTGTGTCCACCTTAGCCACACAAGCATGAGTTTTAAACATGTAAGTCAGGTGATGTCACTCATTTACCTAAAATCCTCTGGCTCTCCATTAAACTTTGATGACTGGGCTAACTCCCAGCTATGGCTTCCGACCCCTCCTCGAAGCAGCCCCTGCCCTCCTGTCCCACTTCTTTTCCAATCAGGGTTCCCCTTGCTCACTATGCTCAAGTGACACTGGACTTCTTTTAATTTCTTGAAAACACCAAGCAAATTCTAACCTTTAGGGCCTTTGCCTTCATGTGTTTTTAAGTTCTAAATACTCTTTCTTCAAATATCTGCTGGGTTTGCTATCTTATCTCATCCAAGTCTGAGCTCAAAATATACTTACCTGCCACTCTCTCTAAAGCTTCTCCCTCTTCCATGGTTGCTGTCTACCTTATTGCCCTGTTTTATTTTCTTTATGGCACTTAGTACCGTCTAAAAGACCCATCTTATTTGTTTATTTGCTTATTATCTTTCTTTCTTAATAGACTATACACTCTCAGAATGAAAGGATCATTTCTTTTTGGTTTATTGCTGTAACTTCAGTGCCTGGCATGGAGTATAAGCTCAAAGCACATTATTTGAATGCAAGAATAAATGAATGAGCTTGAATCTGGAGATTCAAAGTAGATGGGGACTTCTTGGGATAAACATCCACAAATTGAGGACAAAGATCATGATGGCAAAGTAGGAGAAGGGGTATTTTTCCCCCCTCATATAAGCCTTATTCAGAATGCCTATTTTAGGACCAGGTACAAGCATTTAAATTTTGGTCCTCATGGTGGAATGTGATATTAATAAAATTTTTTTAAGTTGTGGAATTTGGATTACTTTGGTCTTTGTTTAATTTATCCCGGGTCCCCAAAGGGTATGGCTGCTGAAAAAAGTATCCAGGCATGAGTCACAGAACCTAAGTCTTATCTTATGAGTCTTGGCTGTGGCTGTCTTGATTCTTCTTTTGATCCGGTGGCTTTCCCCTGCATGCTTAGTCATGCCCATGCCCAGGGGTCATGCTTTCCAGACTAGAGAGTATACTATGCACTCTTTCTAGGGTGATATTCTAAGTATTTAATAACCGGTATAACAATGACGCTGACCATTCAGCTATAAACAACCAGTACAGCTGAACTAATGTGTATTGGTTGAAAGTCACCTCTGACTACCCCATCAATCCCCTCCATAGTAAATATTTTCATAGAGAGTTTTGTCTGTTGCCAAAGAGGAAGTGGCTGTTTCTACGTGCCCATCAACACTCCCCTCCCCACCTACACCAGCCCAGCCTTTTCCTGTGAAATGCTTCACTTTCTCCATTGTAGCCAGAGTCCCTTTTTCTTTCTTGGGATCTAGTATCAGCAGCCTGCCAAGTACACTCATTCATTCAATGAGTATTATTGAACACCTTTTATGTTTCAGATGCTGTGTTGTTTGCTGGAGATAGAGCAATGAACAGGCACAAGTCGCCTCCCTTGTGGAGCTTACATTAAGGACATTCCAGTATTTCTGCATAGTTCTTTATAAAGTACAATCAGTCCTCCATATCTGTGGGTTCCGCATCTGTGTATTCAATCAAAAATATCCAGTTGAAAAAAGTTACACAAAGTTCCAAAAAGCAAAACTTAAACTTGCTGTGTGCCTAGTACTATGTTGAATCAAACAAATGAAATGATGTGTAGGTATCATATTAGGTATTATAAGTACTCTAGAGATGATTTAAAGTGTACAAGAGGATGTGTGTAGGTTATATCCAAATACTAAGTAATTATATAAGGGAGCACCTGAGGATTCTGGTGTCCATGGGGGTGGTCCTGGAACCAATCCTTCACTGTTACTGAGGGATGATTGTGTAATATTGAGTTACTAAGTTACTGAAGTGTTGGGGATGGAAGTGAAGAAGGAGAAACCATACTAGAGATGCAAGAGGAGGGGTTTACTGCACAGTTCTCATGAACTTCAACCTTTTGCCCCAAGAGGTGGCACCCTTCCCCTTGTACTTCTCAGTTTGCCCGGGTCTTACCCACAAATGGATTACCCACCTGAAACCACACCAAATCATCTGTCTGCATGTATTGCTACTGCCTGGAGGCTCCTACCCCATAGTGCTGGGCACTGTGGGTCATACTGGACATTTGCAGGCCTTTTTAAACAATGATCTAAAATTTTCATTTATCAAGCCTTTTTACCTTCTCTTATTTTCTCTTGACAGAACATGGGGTTTTGATACAACTCTCAGTGGAGCTGCTCCATGCTTTGGCAGATTGAGAGTCCCACAGGCGTCCTGTCTGTACTCCTCCCACATAAGACATCCTATTACACCAGGAGAAAGTGTGGGCCTGCTGTTTTAGGTGGAGACGTGAGCCAGCTACTTCTAGTGGAATTCTATCACCCCACTTTCCCTCAGGCCTGCTCTGCTAGTTCTTTTCTGCTAACTCATTTGCTTTTGGTAATTTTGTCTCCTGAATCACGACTGAATCTGATATGCAGTCTCATTTGGCGGTTAATATTCTCCATTCCAACAGACAGGAAGTATTTCAGTTAAGAAGTTTTTGGTCTCAAATAATGGAAAACTCAATCCAAATTGGCTAAAGCTGAAAAGGGGAATCTATTTGCTTTGGAACTGAATGGTTTGGGCAAGGCTTTAATTAGGACTCAAATGAAGTGACCAGAACTTGGCTTCTTTCCCCATTTTTTGGCTCTCACAATCCTTGAGATTGGCCCCATTATCAAGTAGGCTTTCCCTTTGTATGAGAAGATGATTGTGACATCTTCCCGGGCAGTTCTGTCATTAATATCCAAGAGAAAGAGAAACTTTGCCTCTCTGAGCTTTCAACCCAAGACTCAGTCTTCTTAGCCCTAATTGGCTTGATTTTGATCATGTACCCTTTCCTCAACCAATCACTGTAGCCATGGGCTACATAGAATGGCTTAGACCAATCAGGACTCAACTCCCATTGCTGGAGGTTGAGTCAACCATGCCAAATTGCTTGGCTCTAAAATTCTCAACAATGTTGGGAAAGGCGAAGTGGGAATAGATGCTGGGGCAGCAACAGATGTTTTCTACAGCAAGCAACTTGACTTTGTCTTGTAAGTTCGCTCTTGCCTCCAGCATTGATGTGGCATTCACTGTGGTTTCTCTGATAGAAGTTTTGTGCACACTTTTAATTTCCATCTTGCAGGTCTTTCTAATCACTTCTCTCTGCCTTATTTTTCCTTCTGGGGAGTATGGTCTTGGAGATGTGCCGTCTTCCCTGGCCCCATACCAGGTCATTGCAATAGCTTAGATATTTTAAATGCAAAAGACACCATTTTCTGCAAGAAGAAGTTGATAATCATGGTAGAAACTAAACGCAAGTTAATAGCGATAGGTACATTAAAAGTAGGTAAAACAGTCCAAGTTTGTCAGGGTCTCAAGGATAACCTTATTGATATTATTTGGCTTTATATCTGTGACATTTTTCACAATTTATATCCTATAACTTTTAATTTTATCCCAATAGAGGATTTCTTAGAATCACTTGACTTAAAGAAACCTTGGTAATGATAGAATTCAAGTCCCTCATTTTTCTTGTCAGAAACAGACCCAAACAGGTCACATGACTTGCCCAAGCTCACATAGCAATACCCAGTGCCTAGAATTCTGATCTTAGTCTCCTGCCCTCATTGTCCTTGTGAGTGTCCACCAAATGGCAGTAAGATGTCAGGACTCAGTCTTCTGAGCCCAGGTGCTACATATGTCCTTCCATTCTCACTGGAGCTACTAAGCCTCCAAGTACAGATTTATAGTCATTCCATCTCTTTTAAAAGGAAAAATATAATTTTATTATTAAAACTAATGTAAACACTGTATTTTTCTAGCAGATCACAAAAGAAACATAAGCCAGAAGTACAATTACATATTTTCTTACTATTCACTAATAGTAATTTGTAGCTAAAGTAATCTTAACCATATTTGCAAACTTCGACTAAAATTTTTGTCTTCTCTGTTACTCTTGGGTGTCTTACCTGAGATTTATAGGAATCTGGGACATCAGGCCTGTTAAGCACTAAAAACTGTTGTAGCTTTTTTTGGCTGATGGTATTCATTCATTCATTTAACAAATCTTTGGTCAGGTCCTTCAGATTAGAAAGTCATTCATATGGGTGCTTTTGTTCTCAGTTTGCTAAAATATCCCTGGAGACTTGGGCTTTCCTTTTCTTAGTTTTCCATTTCATGTGATCATGGCTATCACAATAATGATAACATACATGTATGTCTATGTGTGTCTATGTACATTTCTAAACACTTTACATAGATTAATTCAGTTATTGTTCACGACAACCTTATTAGTAAGTATTACTACCACATACACCTTTCATAGGTGACAAAAAGGAAGTGCAGAGAAGTTATGTAACTTACCTAAGGTCATACATCTGGTAAGTGGTGGACCTGGGATTTGAACCCAGGCATCTGGCTCCAGAGTGGATGCCTTGAGCCTCTAGAGATAGGGAAGGCTCTGTACAGAGACTGTATACACTACACAGACAAAGAACTGTCTTTTGATCAATTTTTCTCAAATAAGAAGTGGGAAATTTTCCACTTTATATTAAAGAAGAATAAAATCAACACAATTTCTAGCTTACCCTGGGAAGACTGCTAAAATAATTTAATTAACAGTTGTTTCCGACTTCTAGTTATAGAGGTCCATGAGTGCTTGTCTGTAAGAGAAAGGACTATTCTAATAGAGTTTTTGAATACGTCTCTGTCCAGCTACTGAGTCTGGCCTATTCTCACCCAGAGTTGACTTTTATCTGGCTACCCAAGAGACAGTTCTCTTTGCAGTTCATTCCAAACTCTAACTCTTCAGGGCAGGCAATGTGGAATGGTAGAAAGAACAGTGGACTGAGAGGGGTTAAGAATGACTGTAACCTGAGGAATTTCCCTTCTCTAGTCAGCCTTGCTTTCCTCATTTGCTCAAAGAAGCATTTCTGTTAGATGACCTCTATAGTGTGTTCAGCTCTAAACATCCCAAGTCTTGGTTACCTTGTTTAGTGTACCCTCCAAATCTCTCTGATGGCAAATAATAGAAGTTCTGATTATGATGAATGAAATGAAGTGGGCTATTTCTGTTTACACAGAGAAGCCCGGAGGTGATGGATGGGGCTGTTCATGGCTGGTGTAGATGCCCATGGTTGTCATCCAATACCATGGCTTCTTCCATTTTTTCCGGCTTTGTCGTTCATAGTATGTGACTTTCATCCTCATGACTACAAGATGGTTGCTGTGCCTCCAGGAGTTGTGATCATGCCCCCAGCAGAAAGAAGGAGGAAGGAGGAAAGAAGAGAAGGTGCCAGTATTGAAAAAAAACAACAACAAAAAACAGAAGTTTTCCTCAGAAATCCCTGATAGACTTCTGCTTTTGTCTCAGTGGCCAGAGTTGGGCCATATGACTGCTCCTTTATATGAAGGTCTGGGAAAATAAATGTTTCCAGCTGAGTATATTGTAGCCCTGAACAAAATTGAAGTTTTGTAGTGAGGAGGAGAAAAGAGACTAGAATGGGGAAATTTCTAGCAGTTCTGGCACATGCCATGGTCTGCTTGTTTCTTCTAAACTTAAAAACAGACAGATAGATGAACAAACAACAAATAAACAAATCTCTTTCTTTCTCCATTTTCTTCCTCTCTGGCTGGGTATAGTCTTCCTCCTTGACTAACCTCTATTATTGTTAAACATAATTAATTATTATTAACATATAGTTATTAAAAATTATTAACTGCTAATTTATGCACAAAAACACAAACAATTAGACTAAGGAGTTCTAGATTTCACTCGTCAAGGCAAGGGATGGGCATAATTCACCACAGCAGGTAGAAAAGAAACGGAAGAAAGAACAAGTCTGACCCAAGAGGCCCAATCGCCAGGTTTGGATTCTAATTTCAGTTTAGTGTGTCACCTGGGAGATGCAACTTCACCTATGGATCACAACTTATCCTACTTTATTATATAAAAGTAAATGAGATGATGGGCTAAAACTATTTGCATTCCTTGAAAAAGAGCTATTTAAAAAAGTAAATCTGAGATAAAATATGTATTCACTAATATAGATCCTCCTGGGGAACCACTAATTTAGAGTTTGTCATCATTCCGGCAACAGTTGGATTCCAGAGGAGCTCTTTCATCTTCTTAAGAGAATCAACTGTTTGCAGGCACTAGAAAAACACTTTTATTTTGCAAAAGTAAGAGGAATGATAAATAGAATTTTTCTTAGCTATTCAGGAGTTTTACTTGGCAATGCATCATTACCTTAGTCTAGTTTTACGTTTTTTCTAAAAGTGAAAAAATTATATTTCTTTAAAAACGTTTTATAATTCAGACTTTTAAAAATGGATTCAGACAGAGTTGCTATTTATGTATCTCAGTGAGTTCTTGCTGCATTATTATCCCAATAGGAAAACCCATCATGGTGCTGTCTTAGGATTCACTTTGGGTCAGTAGGAAGAATGACAACCTTCTTGGGAGCAGTGACCTTTGTTTCCTTTCTACTTAGAAAACATCTTGGCAAAGTATATAAGGTCAGTCCTCAGTAGACTAAACAGTTGCTGAATTACTCTCCGTACTACATTATGAGATGACATGTATCATCTGCCCATCATTAAACATGGCATGTAAGTACGTGTTTAGTAGATGGTAGCTATAACTGTGAAAGGCAGAATAGTAGAGTGATTAAGGAAACTTGAGATCTCATGCCCTGAGATTGGAATTCCAATGCTAACACTTACCAGCTGGACAACTCATTTCTCTCTGACCCTCAATTTCTCATCTGTACAATGGTGATAATAATACATCCACCACAGGGTTGTTGTGAGGATTAAATGAAATATGGTAGGTAAGGTGCCTGACACCAGGTCTGGCACACAGTAAGTCCTCAGTAAATGGTAGCTAGTAGTAATTTTGCTATTGCCAATATGAATGTGTCTCATCTAGACAGTGATGGATTCAAACTTGTCTGCACAATCCAAATTAGACCAACACAACACAGGGTGTGCCCCTGAGTGCTTCCCAGACCATTATTTGGGATGTTTGGAGTCGAGAAACTTAATGCTGAATCCACCTTCATTGTCGAGGATGTTGGCTTCCACTGTACTGAGGGACATTTGAGAAAGTCTTCATTTGCCTTCTGAGGAAGGGAGAGAGAAAGGTGCTTTGGCTGTTAACTTTCTAACACCAGGTGGCTCAGTTGTCTTGAGAAACCATGATATGCATTTTGCAAAAGGCTCCAAGAGAGCCTTTTGCTTGTTGCCCAGTGTATGTATCCTATCTAGATTTTGTCTGAGCCCCATCTCTTGATTGTAAAGGGGACCCATTTACTTATAGTAAGAAGCTGAATTCCCTTTTGATTCCTAACACAGTTTTGAGCAAAGGGATGGTGCACCTTTGTACATGCTGCCGAGGGTGAAAACACTCTAATACCACACTGGGAAAGAGGTATAGATCTGCTATTGATTGGCCACATTTTCCTTCCATATTAGGCAGCTGCCTAGGTGAGCACCAGTCCCAATGTGATTGGTGTTTAACATTGGCATCATACTTTGTGTTTTTAAAAAGTTTCAAAAATCAATTCCTCATTAACCTGATTGAAAGAGAAGTTATGCCTCCTCTGCTATGTTCTGAACAGGACATAGATCACTGCAGGTGCTCGATAAATATTAAGCATTTAATCCTTACCATGCCTCCCACCTAAATAGGTCACTAGAATTCATTTTCCTAGAGATGAGAGTCTTCACTTCTAAACCAATGTGGCTTCCTGTAAATCTCAAATGTTCCAAAACATAAGGACTCTCTTGTAGACAGTGTTAAGACCTGCTTAGTGGTCATCCTTTTCAGAAGGTCGTGGGGTCCATTTTGCTTTCCGCACTCTTTCTGGTAATCTCTGAAAGGAAGGAGGCTGAGCAATGGAGTTACCTTTAATTACTTGGAGCATATTCCTATAGTTGAGTAGCGTCTCTCCTTGAAGGAAGAAGCTTATATTACCATGGACAGGATAATAGGAAGTGGAAGCCTCAGTCACAATGCTGCCATTCTTTTAAAACTATTCGCATATGCACAAATGACACAGATATGTCCTATCTAGTCATCTGGATGCAAGCATATTTTGAACTTTGCAATATTGTCCTACATAAGGAACCATGATATTCATTTTATTCCTTTGAAGATTCCATAATAGGATCCCTCAGGTTGGAACATCTACATGTTCCCAACCTTTCAGAAAATGCAACTGTAGAAGAAAGATGCGCTTGTGCAGGAGTCTGGGAGGGCACTATTCAATCTTGCTTTCTGGCCCCCAGTCTTCATTTCTCAGAAGAAGGTTAAGAGGGTGACTGAGGTGGTGATAAGACTCAGTCTGGAGGGGAAGATACATCTGGATAAGATGCCTGCTTAAGGCTTAACTCCTCCAGGGAAATGCAGAAGCCGTGCTGCCAAGGCATTTTCAGGCTGCCTCTGTGGTGCAGCCTAAGCAGCATATAATATGGAATAAGTGATGTTTGCTTACTGAAAGGACACTGATAAATGTCTGGCCATTAAGTTCAGACCATGGAGAAGAGAACGGCACACAGCTCTGAAACAACTGACATAAAATTTCGCAATGGGTGGAGACACTGTCTTACGTTCTGGTTTAATGCAGTTTGGACAAAGCTTGAATTCAGCGAATGATGTGTCAGAGTGAAATATTATAATTTATTTTAAACCTTCCATTTTTTTCTTTGTTTACCAACTGGGTCTAACCACCTGTTTAGAAAGATCCAGAGAACAGATTATAAATTCTTTACTATAGGAATGCAAGAATATTCTAGATTTTGGTAATGACTGGTAATGACATCATTTCACACTACAGTGATGTTTTTCATGAGAAACTTTTCGAGGACTTTCAGAATGATAATTAAACTACACAATATACACACAAACTTAGAATTGTCTTTAGTTTTCTCTTTTTTTCTTTCTCTTTTTTTTCTTTTTCTTTTTCTTTTTTTTTTTTTTGGCAGAGGGAAGAAGAAAGGGGTAGCTAAGAATGATTAAGCCAGTCAGCGGTGTTGGACGTGTAGCGATGACTCAGGACCATGACTCAGGACCCAGATGTCTCTCTCTAAACATCCCTTTTGATAGCCACTCATCTCTGTGAAACCTAGTTTGATCATCATTTTCTATGTGGTATCACATGGGACTGTCATATATATCTAGATAAAGTTGGAGAATCGTTTTGCCAAGGACTCTTACATCTAGTGCATTCTTCCATTTTTTTCTGGCATTCATTCTGGGTCATTGTATGGGATTAAAAATGACCATGAGCCTTGCATTCTCTCCAGGGCCACGGTCTTCTGTTGCTCAGTGATTGATTCTCTTGCTATGATTATGTAACTGTGCCTTTGCTCACACCACTCTGTCTGCCATAAGTGCCCTTATTTCTCTTTACTTTTACCTAGATACTTTACACCTTTAAAGCTTAGATCTCTGTTTCCTTTGTGAAACGCAAGCCCATAACATGAATTACATTATGCATTTGCCCATCATCGTATCCTATGTGTGACACTGCTTATACCCTCATTTTAGATTACATAATGATGAGACAGGGTGATTAACACACCCTTCATAGGTATGTAGGAAGGGTTGAATTAATTTATGTGAAAGTGATTATAAACTGTCAAACTATTAAAGTATTCAGTGTTTAATGAGTAAGTTATCTCACCAGGAGTGACCAAAAAGTTAGTAAAGGCAGAACCTCTCCCTCACACTTGGTCTCCTCCAGTGTCTAGTACTATGTGTCTAAAGAACATATGCTCAGAAACTTCATTGCTTTGTTGATTGGTTGATTGTTTTCCATATTTAAAGTTCTACCATCTGTTGAACTATTATCAGGCACATCCCATGATGCTGTCCTGATTTTTAGATAGACAGGTAGCCCAGTGAAGTGTGGATGAATTCATTTTTAAAAGGTTAGGTGGTGATTGAATGATTAGCTCCTTGGCAAGGAAAGTATTTCTCTTTTACATCATTACAGATGCACAGTGGTACCTTTCAGGAGTCTGTTTTTGAGAGGTGCAGAGCAGTTTAAAGATGTTTCACAGTAGGGAGGCTTTTATTGCCAAGGAAGACATTTAGTGGCTTCAAGGCTCTGTCAGAGCGTCCCAATACCTAGGCCAACTGGAAAGGGAATCCTCATAGAGGATTCTGTGACACTCACCATCTCTGTGAAGCCGGAGAAGCCCAGAGTGGGGTTCCCCCATGCACCTTGCTGTTCATTACTAGGAGCTGGTTACATGGGGAGGGGGCAGAATTCTATAGAAAAATTTCTACACTCTGCATTTGGGTGTCCTCTTTTTTAAATGTCAGGTATAGTCTATATACAGCAAAATTACATATCCCCCTTTTAGGGTTCACCTTGTCAGCCAACATATAGTGATGCCAGGTAGTTTCTGTATCCCTTGGTGGTGGTGGGGGTGGGGAGTCCCTCCCCGCCCACTGCCACCAACCCTATGGTTTTCTCTGGAATCTTAGGCTTTTGTTAAAAGTTTTTATAGTTAAAAATAATTGACAGATGCAATTCAACCATTTCTGTTGGCTTCCTTCTGCCCATCCCCTCCCTGACTCCTCAGCTCATCTAAGCTGCTTCTGGGTTCTATCACGTAAGAAGGAGGTACCTCTAAGTTTCAGTTGGCCAAAACCACGCAGGTCATTCTACAAGTCATGGTAATGATCACTTTCTTTCCTCTTTTCCCTTTTTTCTAAGTAGCATGCACAACTTTGTTGTCATTGTTATTGAATATTCTTGGTGATTCCACATCAGAAAGATTAGAAGAGATAATGTCATGAATTGGGTAAATGTGAGGCACCAAGAAAGGGAAAATTTGGTTCCTGTAAAAAAATGTGATTTGGTGGAAATCTTCAGAACCCATTTCGGGAATCCAATTTCTCCAATTTTCCTTATTGCAAGAACCTTGCCTCTTTCTTGCCAGTGTGGCTCTATCTCACTGCATTTTACCCTCCCATTTTCGGTGAGCATCAACTGTGACATCATAAAGCAATTTGGGCCTGGGGCAATTGGTCCCTGAAAAAGGAGCAGAAATTCCTATTTGCATATAGTACCTGAAGCACTGGGGACTGCCCTGCCACTCCAACCACTGTTATTGTTATTGCTGTTTCTTGCCAATACTCTTGGAGATCTTGTGAAAGAGAACATAAGAAATTACATTTCAGATGGGGTCATGCCTTTATTCTCTTCTCCTTTAGAAAGGTTTCTCAAGTGTGGTGTAGGGTTTTTCAAGAGAAATTCACAGGGGCCTTGCTCTGGACCACGACCCTGTGTAGTGGGATGGCATTTGGTACAGTGCAGGTCTGTCTTGGGCTCTGTCCACTGGGGTTAGTGACTGCATGTACCCGAAGGTCTTCATTACAATGCTTACTTGCCACTGGCACAGATGGAATGACATTATACGATATGGCCTTAAGTTAATGGAGAGCGATTTTTTTTAAAAAAACAAACGTAATAGAAGTTGTACCTCTAAATGAGGGTTGTGCCCTTCAAAAGTGATAGCATGGAAAGCAATGCATTTAATCCATTGGCGCTTTCCTGAGCCAAGCATTGTTATAACTTCTGATTTCAAGTTGCCTTCAGGGTCTGTGGCACATTGAAAATATATTTATAAAATATTTATTGTGTTTTTTTCCTGATGACAAAAGTTATACAGGTTTGTTGCAAAAAGTTTGGAAAGTATAGGAAAACACAATTAAAAAATAAATTATCCATAATTTTGGTTTCCTGAGAAGACCTCCATCAAAATGCATGTATACCTTTCTGGTAATTTTTTGTGAATCTGCAAATATGGATGTAAATACACATGTGGTTACATATGTATGTTTATTCGTTGAATTGGGGGCAATAATCTTTATATCGGCTTCTTATTTGTTATTTAGGCTGCTTACCAACATGTTGTGGCACATTGCTTTGAACATTCTCAGTGGTCCAGATATTTTTCTTTAAGGGGGTGGATTTTATATTTGGAAATAGTCGGAGTCATTTAGAGCCAAGCCAAGGTATCTCTGTTATCAAACTAGCTAATATGTTTTGGGAAAACAAACAGACTCAAGTGACTGTAGAATAACAAATCTAGTTCTGTTGGGTGGATCAATCTGACTTAATGCTATATCCAAAAGCAGAGTTCCATGAATGTTTTAAGCCATGGTATATCATTGGCTTAAGTGTATGATTTCAAAGGTGAATAATTTGAAGAAGGCACTCTTTTAGATATAAAGCTTCTGTATTTAAAGGAACATGTATTCAGTCACTGGAAGCAAGTCAGGATATTTTCTCCCAAAGTCTTGAGCTTCTGTGTTTTAAATGGTATGGTGGCCAGGTATTAATAGGATCTTTACTTTTTTGAAAGCCAATTTTGGCAGGATCCTGAAACTTTCTTAGCCTGGCATGGATGTTAGTCTGATAGTTAAGACTGCTCCTTACCTCATGATTGTTAGCTGGGGTTAGTGCTCCTCTACTTTGTATAAAGCTCTGGTATTCCTTGTCCTGAGGCAGTCAAACAGATGAGCTCAAGGGGGCTGCAGTTTTCAACTAGGACCCGTTAAGTACTTTACAATTTACCCATTCTGAAATAATGAAGTTTCCAATAAGTTGATTAATATGCATTAATAATTAAATGCAATTAGGGTTACTTTATAATAGAAGGCAGAATGTATCAGAATCAGGACTCTAAACTTTCTTGTCACCATCCACCAGCCAGGGTCTGTTGCGCTGATGATGGTCTCCTTGCTGGCCTTCTGGACAGTTACTGAGATCCTAGCAGGCCAGACGGGGCTTATTAATGCAAATGTATTGGTAGCCTCTTCCGTATCATGAGTGGTGATTTAACACCAGAAATTAATATCTTGTCCCCAACCTTGCCAATCCCTATTTTGTCTCAAACAGACGTAGATGTAGATGTTTGGGGAAAATGGGAGTCAGGCGTTGGCTTGGCTCTGGAGTCCTTCTAGTCCAGGAAGATAAATTACCCTTTTCTAATTTACCAATTAGATTTTCTGTAGATTCTCTCAGCCAGTTCTCCAATTCTAAGACTCATCTTGTTTCTCTTCATGAGGCTCATACTTTGTGGGGATCCAGATTCAAGTAACATTTTATTAAAGCCCTAGTATGTAGCAGAGAAGGTGAAAGCCTGTTTTACAAGTATCCTCATTTTATTCCAATTTACAGCTGACTGATGGAATTGAGGTTCAGAGGGGGTTAGTAACTGGCCCAAGGTCATATTATCGTGTAATGGAGGAGGCAGGGTTTAAATCTAAGTCTGGAGACTTCAAGGCCAGTGTGTATTCCACACTGCTTTACTTTACATCATGCATTGCCCGTTGCTCACTCATCCATTCAATATATGTATGCATGTATTTGCTTACTTATTATCATCTCCTCCCATTCAAATGGAAGCACCTCAAAGGCAGGAACTTTGTCTGGTCATACTGTATTTCCGGCACCTAGAGCTATGCCTCGGATGTGGTAGGTGCTCAATAATTGTTTTGTATTTCGTGGTGGAGGTAGACCACCTGTGTTAAAATCCTGGCTTAGCCACTCTCTAGCTGTGTGACCCTGGGCAAGTGACTCAACCACTGTGTGTCTGTTTTCTCACTTCATTGGTTGTTGTGAAGATTAAGATGTTTAGAATAGAACTTCGTTCATATAAAGTGCTTATTAAGTGTTAACCACTATTATTATCTGTCGAATGAATAAAATCGTTGAGTGACTACTGTATGCTAGACTTGGGATAGAACAGTCAACAAAACCTTTACTGTCCCAGTCCTCATGGAACTTACAGCTTAGGGAAGGGTAGGGTCAAACAGTGGGATAAGCACTGTGAGAGGTGAAGTACAGGATGCTGGGAGAGCAGAAGCGAGAAGGTCAGGGATGGCTTCCTGGAGCAGCCTATATCTATGCTGAAACCTGAGAGATGAGTAAGCACTATCCAGGTAGAGGAGTGATTGGGAGGAAAAAGAGCCCAGATGGAATGAAAAGCATGTGCAAAGGCCCTAAAGGTGAGAGCAGTATGGCATGGCTATCAATGAGCATGCTTTGAGTTGTAGGTAACATAAGACTCAAAGAAAAATGGCTTTAATAATAAGGTAAATATTATGCCATTTCCAAGAACAAGAAGTCTATATAGGCAAACCAGAGTTAGTGAAATCTGTGGCTCCAACATGCTTCCAAATTCTTTCTCTCATTCTACTCTGCCATCCTTTGAGTTTAGGCTTATCCTGTTAGGCTGACTTCTCCTCACGGTCCCAAGGTGGTTTAAAGATGGCATCACATGAAGATATGCTACATGGCTATTTTGAAGAGGAAGGAAAAAGTTTCCCAGAAGCCCAGGTTTCTCTTTCAAGTCTCATTGGTCAGAAAGGCATCACCTGCCCCTTTCTAAACCAATCACTAGGAAGAGGAATGGAATGACCACATTGGCTTGGACTGATCAAAATTCATTCTCTGGGGCTGGGGTTAGCCTTTCATAAAGCTGTGGTTGCTTGATATTGGAACAAAATTGAGCTTATTTAGGAGACATGATGGGAGGTAGGGTGGCAGTGCTACTGGGCAGACAAGTACCAGGAACCCCACAGTTCCCTTTGAGCTCTGAGCTACAGAGCTCATATATCAGAAGGGGAGCCCCTTATAGCCAAAGAGATGCTGACCAGAATGTCTTGTCCCCCCGGGAGGGCATAAGAACTCTGTGGCAACACCCAGATGGTTATAATCCAGAGGAAAAAAACAGTCTTAGGTTCTGGCTTTTGGACTATGGCAGGTCTCAGTTTTTATTTGATAGAACACTTCCTTGCATTTCAGTGGACTTGTATATATGTTTGAAACATTTCCATTATCCAACCAGTTTCTCCTATTAATTTGATGACAGGAGTGGTGGAAGGTAACAATATGTGTGTATGGGAGTTAGATTGTGGTAGCGTGGGTAGGGGGAAGAGAAATGTCATGGAGTCATGGGAACTTCAGTTTTCATGTAGGACAGCTGTCACCTTGATGTTGGAAATCTCCTCCACTCAGATGCTACTTGAACACTGCATGGATGGGGACACATGTTTCCCACAGCAGCCTTTCTGTTGGAAGTTTAATTTTCTGTCCCTTTATCCTCTCTCCAAGCTTCCAGTAAGAAAAGCTCCTTGACATCCCATGTCCCCCATCCTTCCTCTAGATCCCTGTAGTCTTACCTTCACCAAACATTCCACTCACTTCCTAACTCCCTGGATCAATTGCCCAAACCTGAAAACCCAGGCTTGCTCCGTTCAGTTACAAATGCTGGCTGAGTCCACTGTGGAAGCTCTGCTACAGCCTTATCATCTGCTTATTTTATCTTAATGTACTTGGTCCATCTGCCTGGACTCCACACCTTCCTGTATTTCAGGCTCCGAGTCCCACACATCTCTCCAAATCTGCATTCCTGACCCTCAGCTTGTTTTGACTAGACAACTATAACTACAGCTCCAAGACTGGTTCTCCACTCTGCTCTGCTGCCTCCCCCATCCCAGCATAACACAGGTTACAGTGGCGAGGAGAGTTCATGCATCCCTGAAAGGATGGAGAGGGTATATCTGTGTTTCACTCAGTCACTTCTTTATCAACCATGGTCCTGAATTTGTGTTTCTTGTCTTCCCTCTTCTCATGTCTCACTGAAGATTTCATGCTGAGCCATGCACGGCCCTTGGAGGCAGAGATATTGTGGCTGGCCCACACTCTGGCTTTCTGATGCTGTAGTTGGGCTTCACTGCCTCCTCCACATTTCTGCCTGGTCCCCTTAATGGCCAGTGATGTGCATTTCAGAGGCAGTGGGCTGGGGCGACAAGTACAGTCTGGCCCACTAAACAGAGCCAAGCTCCACAGCCCACATAGGCGCTGTGACCTGGGCTTGCTGCCTCAACTCTCCAATCCTCAGAGATGAAGTTCATCCTTTCCTTGGATACATCCGGCACGCAGCATGTTGGTGTGGCATGGCCATGACACCCACGAAGCTGGAGACGAAAATGCCCTCCTCTCACAGACTGGCTTCCTGCCTTGTTTACAGAATATTTTAATCTCACTTTCAATTTTACTTTTTTCCTTTATCCTCCATTTCTGAAATTTAAATATTTGATGTCAGTTCAGTTATTTTTATGACAATCCTCTTTCCCTTCCAGAAACAGAAAGCAAAAGAGATGCAAAACCCACTGGGGCATCTGTCTCCCACTTTTAATTAGTCCTTTTTCCTCTTGCATGACACTAGCAGTAGTGACTGCAGCGTGCTCTATTCTAACCCCGCTGCCAGACCCTCATCATTTTTCTCCTCCCTGGACCCCCAGGGGTCTCCAGTGTTCCCAGTCACCCCCATATGGTCTTGCTGAGCTACAACAGGACAAGGCTTCAAGGAAGATCCTGAGCTCTTCTCTTAACCTGGAACAAAAGGCAGATCTTGCAGCATGAATTTTACTTCATGTCTTTTCATTGATTGTAGACAGCCCCATCTGATTAATAGTTTTCCTTAAATGAGAGCTACCTCTAAATATTCCTCTTCAAGACCTGGGTCCTAAGGAAAGGAGTCTGGATTAGAGGCCAGTATCTGTGTGTCCTAGTCCTGGTTTTACCTCCTGACTTAGATAAGCCATCTGTGTCCCACCTATTATACGGGTAGAAGACTCTCTTACTCCCTACCCTCCATGGAGATTAGAGAACATAAGGAAGGGGCTCAGTGCTCTGTGGTTGAAGGGAAGGTTATGAATTTCAGCAGGATTATTTTGTTTAGTGCTTCCCTTTCGGAGCCCACATCCTCTTCCTCCAAGCCTTTGTGAGCAGAGGGTCACTGGGTTTTCTTTTTCACTAGTCTAGTTCTACTGTCCTGCTTGTATCTCCTGGGCCTGTGTGAAAAGAGCCTGGAGTGTCCCATTTTGTCAATTCCCTTCCAAGCCCTGGCAGCTCTGAGCAGTAGGGGATACCTCCCTTCCCACCCTCAGTCCCCTGCTCTGCTGAGCTAGAAGAAGGTGTTGCATCTGAGCCCTGTGGTGGGCTGAGAGCTGAGGCCCCTTCCTCCTGAACCACACCCTGGAGAAAAGGACACGTCTCTTATGTTGGGATGACACATCTTAGTTTTCACAACATTTTATATTACCTGCCTTATCTTGTTTCATCCCCTGCCTCCCACCCATAAATCTTGTGAAACAGGGAGACTAGGACTATAGAAAACATAATTGGGGATGTGAGAGGTTAAATGATATGCTCAGGTTAATGCCTCTAGTTAACAGTTGGACCTGGACAAGAATCCAGGGCCCCTGACTCCTAGTCCAGGCCTCTTTCCACTGCATCCCATAGGCTAAAGGGCCTGGAATCACAGCACGATGATCCCTTTGTGTCTGCACATTTTGCCTTGGACACCGCCTGGCCTTCCTACACCTCTTCTCCTAATGGTCACTCAAGTTCTGTGTCCTATATCCTATCAAGCCCTGACCTGTAGGCAAGGCAGATAGGCCAGGGAGCTTGATCCCCAGGTGTTTATGTGGGGAAAAAGGTATGAGTTGTGGGGTGTGTGGGTGGGAGGAGGCTGAGGAACACATGCTCCGTATTAATCTTTATTTCAATGAAGTTGTTTGAGTTCATGCTTTATTGCAGTGCTTTAAAATAATGTGTTTCTAACAGTGCCCCCGGGGGTAGCACTTGCACTTTTGAGATCCTATTGCCAGAGTGGCTCACGAGACCAACCACAATAATAGAAAATGAGGCACCCCCTGGTGCACCATCTGAATTTATAATAGCAATTTCTATGATGCCCCGAGGCCAGCTCTGTTTGTATTTGAGAACATGCGAGAGCTTGGCAGTGAGGGGGTGGCTCCTCCCTTCCTGCCCGGCGTTGATCTTGGCTCCTCTTTTACCTGGTGAAAACTCCTTCCTTGGCTTCATGCATTTGGGTCTCATTTTTAGTCTCCAAGGAAAGGACTCATCCTCTGCCACTTTGGTGTTGGTGTGGGCAGGGAGGCTGATGAAGGGGGAGTGGTCTCCTGCCGTCTGTCAGCCACTTCCCTCCTTCTTCCTGCCTCTCAGCACCCTGCGTGCAAAGCAGAAAGTTGCTCTGGGGCCTCTTGAGCCTTCATATCATAGCGGTGAAATATGAAATGACAGCATCATGAAATGGACTTGGTCTCATTAAGATTCCAAACGGCAGTCTGTTCCTCTCCCCCCACCCCCACAATTCAGTCAGAGACCTACACCACGGTGCAGAAGGTAGAAATGGGTCAGTGCTGCCGGGGATGGGGGTGGGGGGTCTGGCAGGAGAAGCAAGGATAAAGGGCCAGCATGGTCAGGCTGGGACAGCAGGCCCAAGGACATACCAGGGGACCGAGAGAGCTGAATCACCCGCCAGAACTTCTGGAGACAAGAACACAGGGTTTGGCTGGTGCCTCTGAAAGCTCACCCACACAGAAAGCTTTCCTGGACCCAAAAGAGGGATAGAGGTGGGGTGGTTACACAAAGACAAGAAATCCCCATTTCCTTGCAAACTGCTTAGTGATTTCTGGGCAAACTGCCCAGAAATATTTGATGTGAAAAATGAACAACAGCACCCCCTTCCCTTCATCCAATAAAAATAAATCCTTCTTTACAGAAAGTGTGAGCAGCATTTGCACACAGGTTATGCATTCTCCATGAGGCTGTGTGTGTGTGTGTCATTTTGCCTCATGGCAGAAGCCCATGAGAAAGCCAGTGCCATTCATTCATTCAATCATACATTCATCAGATGCATTCAACTCCTATGTGCCAAGCACTGTGAGAGGCGGCGACACTGTGTGTCTTCGAAGAGGAAGACAAAATAGTTCCTGCCCTCAAAGACCACATGATCCTTTGTGTGTGTGCCTCGTGACCAAAACCCCATCTTGATTTCTTCGTCAGTGCAGACAGAGCTTCTTAGGTGGGTTTAGTTGTAAACTGCTTTCATGCCTGGAGGAGCCTCAGTTACTGGATATTTACCCAGAGGCAAAGTCTGACCCAATGTCTCACCACTCTGCACATTAGAATCACCTGGGCTGCTTGACCAACCACCCCCGCTTGGCTAGGTTGACACCCAATTTGTACTTGCAGGTATGGTGTACCTGCCAGCATGCCCCAGAGTGGTTGGGGCTCATGCCTTACTGGTCAGTAGATATTTTAACCATTATTCTTGGTCCTACACCAGACTAAAATATATATATATATAAAATAAAGATTCCTGGTAATGGAGGCCTAGGCATAGATAAGTCTTTTTAAAAAGCTTTCCTTGCCAGAAGTAGTGGTTCATGCCTATAATCCCAGCACTTTGGGAAGCCGAGGTGGGCAAGAGTTTGAGAACATCCTGAACAACATGGTGAAACCCTGTCTCTACAAAAAATACAAACATTAGCCAGGCATGTGCCTATAATCCTGGCTACTCAGGAGGCTGAAGTGGAAGGATCCACTGAGCCCAGGAGGTTGAGGCTGCAGTAAGCCGTGATCATGCCACTGCACTCCAGCCTGGGCGACAGAATGAGACCCTGTCTCAACAAACAAGCAAACAAATGAAAAACAAAAGAAGCCCCAGGATCTAATGTTGGGGCAGATGAACTACTCTGATGCTCACCCCCCACCCCGCCAATGGAGGGTCCCTGGCAGTAACATAATGTTATTTCCTAAGCAGATTGCTCAGTGTGGAGCTGCTGCTTAGCACAAGGTGAATGAAGGAAAATCAGAAACTCTCAGCTTTTGAATCTTAGTGGTTTGAGAAGCGGAAGAGTTCTGATCCAGCACCCTCTTCTTATATGTGATGCAACTTGGGTCCAGATGTCTGGAGGTAGATATTTGACACTTTCCCCAGGACACGTGAGATTTATTTCTGTAGCTGGAAAATATGAGACAAGGAAGCTGAAAGGTTGGGCTTTTTAGCAAGGGCCTTAAGACAGGGGCATTGTCAGCCCAAGAGAATCTTAAACCTTTATAGTTGGGCTAAGGGTGTAAATTATTATATGTTAAAAAAAAAACAACCTCTCTCAACAAAATGATTCTGCTGATGTGGGCTGCCTGTGTTGGAGCTGACAAAAAGCTGTTTTCCATGGCATGGTGGCTCTGGGAGGCACTCAAGGGGAAATCTCTGTGACTGCAGGGTTCTTGGCCTCTGTCAGGTACCCCCAGGCTCTCCAGCTGGCCTAGCTGGCTCTGTGTTGCCAATCTCTCATGAATTCCAGACATCTGACCTCACAACCCACTGACCTCAGGTAGACCTGTGTGTGCCTACCTGGGCCTCTGCCTACCTGGTTTCTCTTCTCTATTTTCTTGTTAGAGGATCCCACTCACCTCGATATGTCTGCTCCTGGAACCTGTCCCTTGGAATCAAGGATTCTGAAGATCCAGGCCTCTTAGGCTTATCTCCACTCCCCCAGTGGCCCTCTGCTGCCCCCACTTGCCGCAAGTTCACACTAACCACAGAAGTCCTGCAGGCCTGCACCACAGGGCTCAAAACACACTGTTTTTGCTCTGTGCCTGGTATTGTATTGCCTTAGGTCATCTGATTTATAGTCATTGCAGTCCTCAGTTAAGTATGATTTCCATTCTACAGATGAGAAAACTGAGTCTCAAGATAGGTAGGGCCCAGAGCTTGAAGAGGCAGTGCTAAGTTTAAACTCAGTATAATGCTACATGTGGGCTGCCTCTCTTAACTCTTTTGGTTCCAGAGGAAACAGCAGTTACTGTGAATAAAATGAGAAATGATCTTGGAATAATGCAAATTAACCACTAAGTCCTTAGAAAGTGATTGCAGTGAGACTTGATCATTCAGGATGCAGGACTGTTACATCTGTTAACCTATTTATGCCTGGGGTTGCAATTTTTTGAATTTTTGCAATCAGACCTTGGCAATGACCTTGAGCAGTAGGATATAAATAACTCCCACATGCTTAGTGTTCCAGTAATGGAACACTAGGCATATTAAGCACAGTGCTACCTTCCCCCACTCTTCCTTCTCATCTCAAGTGCCCTGCATGCCTCTCATCTTGCCATAGTGTAGGTGGCAGGAAAAGCAAGAATCTTGCGCTATCTCAGAACACAGAGCCCACTTAGAGTTCAAGAGTCAGGAAGTAGATAAACGAAAAGCAAAGGACGCAGACTCCAGTGAGCTAAGCAAGATAAGAAGGTGATAATCCACCAAAATTCAGCCGAGAAATCTGAAAAGAACTGGACAAGATGAGGTGGGGAGAAGGATGCATGAAAAAACCAGTGATGTGAGGTGCATGGGATGGGGACACTGGGAATCTGGGAAAGAGATCCCAGCACCAGCCTCTCTCGTAGGATCCCAGTGATGAGGCAGCCTCTCTCTGAGACTCAGCAGCCTTCACTTTCTCCTCCCATTGGTCAGACTCCATCCTGAGAGTGCTGGATGTAGAGGATGCAGGTGCTGGGAAATGACAACTGCTCCTAGATAGAGAGGTTATGAGGGAGGCGATGCAGGCATTTCTCTGACATCAAGTTTATCAGTGTTCTTTCTGTGAGGAGTTGTGAAGTGCGCCATTCCTAATGGGAGGGTGCACTGACCTCTGTATAATAGCACTCAGAGTGATGTTCTGAGTGTAAGGAATTGAATATATACATGTTGTGTCTGGTCATGTTTACGTCTACACTCACACATATAGTTACTCTGGAATGATACATTGTCATGTGGCACAGAGGTACTTTGAAGGATTCAGCACCTGAAGCTCAGTGAGGTGGTAGATAGCTAGAAGGTAAGAGTAGGAATTTTGAAGGAATAGCTAGGACTTGTAAAATCAGGGAGACACCGTAACTCTTGAAAGGCTAGAAGTCAAGTTCAGACAAGTTTGCTAAGGGTAGGAGATTTCAGACAAGTTTGCTAAGAGTAGGAGATATAACTCTTGAAAAGCTAGAAGTCAAGTTCAGACAAGTTTGCTAAGGGTAGGAGATACCAAGTGAGCACCTCCAGGCCAAAGTAGGGTCCAGAACCTGAGAATTAGCTGGACACATGTCACCAATGGCACAAGTGAGAGCCACCAAGGTGTGCTCTAGTTTTATGGCAAAGCTTTGTCTTAGCCAGTGACACCAGACACTTCAGGTCAACTCCTTTTCCTTTCTTTCCTAATTGTTAAGCTAGTGGAGAAAACCAGCACAAGAAAAGCCTTGGCCATTTGCAGAATACAAGATTTCAGGTGAAAGGTGACAGAGGAAAATATTATGCTTTATATTGTTAAGTTTTATTCAATTATTTATTGACTTAAAATGTATTGTGATGTGTCTGTGATAAGCCAGAAACTGTCTGCATGAGGATGGGATACATACAAAGATTAAAAAGAAAAATCCCTGCTCTCAAGGAGTTTAAAATCTAGAGAGGAAGAGACAGAGACATGCAAACAAATAACTCTAATAGGAGTTAAAAATAGCTTGCTGTGAGAACAAAGAGACGAGTAATTATGGAGGGAGAGTTAGAGACAACACCGTGAGGAAGTGAACTTTGATTTAGGCCTCGAAACACATTTTTTAATAGAAATATACTTTTTAATAGAAATATATTTTTAATTGGGTAAGGAGATGGAGAGGAGGAAGTAGGAGGGAATTTGGGGATGAGGGAACAGCATGAATAAAACATGGAGGTGTGAAAGTATGTAGCAGGTTCAAGAAAAGGCAGTTAATGCAGTGGACTTGCATTTAGGAGGTAGCTTGGGAAATGAGACGAAATAATTAGTATCCCCAATGAGAAGATTCCAGGTAATTATATAATCTTCTCACTTAAGCTGGCTAGTAGGTAGGGATCTAGAGTGAGGACCAGGTCTAGAAATAATATATTATCTTAAGCACACACAGTTGCTTCAACACATTTCCTCTTTACTCTCCCTCTTGCAGCAAAGCAGCTCTATTCTTTGTGAGAGTGCATACACCTCTTCTGTGCTTGTACACTCACACTCCGTTTTCTTTATGTACACACACTCAGACCTTTGTGAACACCTGTGACCCACCATGTGACCTCCAGCGTGTGCACCTCCTCACACCAGCTCAGTAGGATATGCAGAAGGCCAAGTGGCCATTAAATATCATTGAGCTTAGTAGGAAGAAGCAGAAATGGATTGCAAATCACGTGCAAAGTGATGCATTCTGCAAGTCAGCTAGAATAATTTCAGACCCTGGACCTCCTGCTAGAGTGAAGAATGACGTTTATAGAAGGGAAGCTTAGAATTAATCCTCCAAAATGATGGTAAAGTGAATTCTTCCCTGGATCTGCTGTGATTGCTCTTCCTCCCATTTCTGTCGCTCCTTATTATTGTAATGAGTTCTGCTCTCCAAAGTGAATAAAGTCACCATTCAGATAAGATCAGTTTTGTCTGGCGCAGCCAAGTTGATCTGATCACAATTTGGACTTCGGCTTTTGAATTCACCTTGGGCATTTAACTGCTGGGGGCTGGGGGGAATAAAAATGCTGATCTGGCACAAAAGCTGCAATCATTAGTCAGCTGCTTTCAGGCCCGCTCTCTCCAGCCCTGCTGCAGGATAGTAGATTCTTTTGATATTTATTGGACGTTAGGGCACTTTGGGAGACTTCAGTTAGATCCTGTACACCTGCTGAGTCTCCTGGTGTTCTCCGTGGTTCTGAGAAGACGGAGCCGGCCCCACGGAGAAGGCAGCTGCTGGGAGCTCTCCGTGGTGCTGGAAGCAATGCACTTCCACAGGAAATTTGAGGGGAAATTGCCCACAAGAGTTCTAAGGATCATTATTGCCCTACAGGAGGGTTGAGTTGGAACCAGAGTAGCAAGCATTTGAGGGCTTGCTGGATGGATGTCCATCGTACAAACTAATGACCACTTTCACATTTGTTCTTATTCTATGATGCCAACTGATTGTTTTATAATGCTTCATTTGGTTTTCTTCCTGGTGGTGAGGGGCAAAAGTAGATGCTTTATATTATTGTCCACTTGAAGCACAAACATAATGAAAGAGCTACAATTCATTTATTGCACAGGCATTTGTCAGGCACCTTTAATATGCTGGCTGATATGTGCTGGGAGTTGAGCCTTGGGCAAACTTATAACTCACACAGGAATCAGATGAGTTGTGACTCCAGGAGAGCTGTTTTTTGCCCTGACAAATACTGACATCTGGTTACTGACAATGCTGGACCTTAGATAGTGACTGTAGTCAAGAAGAGACCTGGGAAAAAGTCCTGGAAATGCTGGGCCTCCCTATGTGGCTTCTATAAACTAAATGTGAGTGTTATTAGTACAGAGTGTTATTAGTACATTGTGTGCCTTGAGGGGGTTCTAAAGGAAGCAGAGGTTTTAACAATTTTACACACCCTGATTCTTCATTTCTGCCTGTTTTTTAAACCTCTTCAAGCTTAGGCCTGAAATCAGCTTCCTGCTGGGATCTGCCTCCCTCAATTTGCACAGGGGTCTTTGTAATGATTGCCATGAGTAGTGATCTGGGAGAATGCCTGATGTTGTTGTGTGCATGAGTGTCCATGAAGGATGAATCTAACAATAAAGATGATAATATTTATATATTATTATTACTTATTACTCTCTGTGATTTGTTCTGAGTGCTTTACATATATTAAATCATTTAATTCTCACAAAAATGTTATGAGGTAAGTATTATTATTATAACTATTTTACAGATCATGAAAATGATGCACAGAGAAGTTAAATAACTTTCCAAAGGTCACATAGTTAGTAAGCAGTAGAACCAGAATTTGATACTAGGTAGTTTGCTTTCAGAGTCCCTTCTCTTAAACATGATGCTATAAAACATTGAAGATTATGACTTTCTGGGAAGTAGTTACACGTTTCCTGAGGCTAAAAAAAAGCTGGTTCCTTGACTCTCCCCTGTTCTCATGTTCTTCCTATAGTAAACGTCTCCCACCTCATTTTTTTTTTTGAGACGGAGCCTTCACTCTGTCGCCCAGGCTGGAGTGCAGTGGCATGATCTCAGCTCACTGCAAGCTCTGCCTCCCGGGTTCACGCCATTCTCCTGCCTCAGCCTCCTGAGTAGCTGGGACTGCAGGCGCCCGCCACCACGCCCGGCTAATTTTTTTGTATTTTTAGTAGTGACAGGGTTTCACTGTGTTAGCCAGGATGGTCTCGATCTCCTGACCTTGTGATCTGCCCACCTCAGCCTCCTAAAGTGCTGGGATTACAGGCATGAGCCACCGCACTCAGCCTCCCACCTCATTTTATAGACCAGCTTCTAAGAATGACACACCTTAATGCTATTTCTGGAATTTTATTTACCTTTTAGCTGGAATTTTACCAAATAATATTTGTCTTATCATCTTGAAAAAAAATATTCTTGCGTGATATGCTTCTTCTTGTCAGTCAAGATTCAGGTCAATTTTTTTTTTTTTCAGTGAGGCCTTCTCTGACCATCCAGTGCAAAATGGCTCTTCTTTCCCCTAGCTATTTTTTCACCACATCTTATGATTTTGTTTTCCTCCTGGCAGTTACCACTATTTGAAAATTTCTCATTTGTTTATGTGTTTTATTGTTTTCTGTCTATCATGTCTACTAGAATATAATGTATGTGAAAACAGGAGCTTTGCCTGTCTTGTTTACTGCCGTATCCCCTCTAATCAGAATGTGATATAATTAATAAATAAAACCGTGCCCAAGAATAGTTTGGCAAACACTTGGAGAAAAATTCAGAGAGAGAGAGAGAGAGGAAGAGTTAATAAAGTCCTTTGAATCAGGATAGATTTTTCAAGAGCAAGTATAAACGGAGAAAAGTTCAGCACATGGCTATGAAAGACATCTGGTCAGGGGATCACTTCCAATCAGCAAGGACTACAGACTCTTGGGAGCCAAAGTAAAGAGGTCTTCCTGTCTGTATTTGTGAATCTGCTATGTCTCACCCTTCCACTGGAGTTGTTCTTACATCACATTGGAGATTGACATGAAGGAGGATGGGGTGTGCCTTAGGAGAGTAAGACAGTCTGACCCATGAGCTTGTCATCTATTTTCCTTGACTTCTCCAGAAAATAAAAAGGACATCTTGTATTTTTCCCAAGTCTCTACTGTACCAGTCTCACCCACACCCAGCAGCATGTTCCTCATGTGCTTCAAGCCTGAGCTCTAAGGGGAAGTGGGATCATCAGTGTTCAAAGTGAACTATACTTGTTACATAAATTAAAGATTAATTGTGGACAAGGTGATGGGGCATGGAAGAACAAGATAGAGAGCTAATATTTAAAAACTAAGAATGTGAAGCTCTTGATATATTTGGATTCTTCAGAAGGTGATTTATTCATGTCTGGTTGATTTTCTAGACTTCTAGGTAATTTTCATCTCAGTTTCTGGCATTGATAGTGCCCATTTACTCATTTATTAGAGGCTGCAAAGTAGAGAGAAGCCTTGAACCAGTTAAGTTTGAGTTTGGAAACAGATGCATCAGAGCATTTGGTGGGGGAAGAGGTTGATTCCCTGGTCCCCATAGTTACATGCCAGATTTTTATATTTTGAGGTTTTCTTAGTCAACAATTGTTTAAAATCTATTTTCATCACCCATGTGCATAGGGCATTAATCACTGAAATCTGTTTCTCACAGTTACCCTTCACATAGGACTCTGGTTTGCTTCCAGAGCAGCCTTTAGTGCAAATATTCTGTCTGCTGATGTCTGCATTTACTACATATCCAATGGGGAGTAAAGAATGGGAGGTCTGGGAGGGAGAGCTTCTCAAAGGACTGGAGACATGGAAGGCAGTGGTCAGAGAAGAGAGTAACTACTGATGAGGAAAGGGGAGAAAGGAAGTAGGAAACAAACTGGTATCTAGTAAAGGAAATGAGGAGATGAAGGATATAGGGCTGGACCCCTTTGATGAATACTTTTGGTTACAGGAGGGAGAGGGAAAGGCACAGATGTGGAAGCCAGAAAGCTCGAGGTCTAAATCCCTTCTCTGAGCCTCCTTTTCCAGCTGTATAGAATTCTTTTGAGTATTAAATGAGATAATACATGTGAAATGTCTTGCACAGAATAGGAACCAAACAAGTTGAAATTGCCACGAGCTTCAAAAGTGCCCATAGCTTTTTTTTTAAAGTAATTTCTCACATATTTATTGAGAACTTTTAGATATAACCATGATTGTCTAAATGTGATCACTGTCTTCCTATAGTGCAGATTTCTGTAGTGAGGAAAGAAGCAGCCATCATCTTTAGCTTAGAGGAATGTTTCTTAGGGGCCTGGTAATATCAGTCTGCATTTACCTAACACCTACTGTATATCCAGCCCTTGCCCCCTTTGCTGGAAAGCAGTATTCTCGTAGGAAGGCGGAGACTAGTGGGCTTAAATGATGATATTTCAGTATATAGGAAGCCACCCTGGGATAAAAAAGGGACAGGAAGAAAGAGCCTCATTTATTTATTTGGCAGACACATATAGCCTAGTGGCAACATATCAGCCCAAGCAATGGGCTCTGGTGGAACTTCCAGGCTGGTGGGGGCTTGACATGAAAGGGAGTGAGGAAGCGGGAGACTACAAACATGCAAGTTCTTGATATTGTGGACTGAGGAAGTGAAGGTGGAAAAGGAAAAGAAAAGGAAATTCACAAGTTGCAGGGAGAGTGGCTCAAGAAGTGGGCTAGGAAACTGAGCAAAGTGCTGGGGCGGTTGAATGGTATCAGGAAAGCAGATGGTGATCCTGGAGAAGGAGGGTGCAGATGGCAGTGGTGGTGAGGAGGCAGCGTGGGGTGAAGAACAGTCCCAGCTCGGCCACTCCAGGAGGAGAGAGGCTGGAACACAAAACTCCCCACGCTGGCTGAGCTCTGTGACTCATCTGGCCCCCAGTGTGGCATCTCACAAGGTTCCTAGGAGAAGAATGTGGGAGGTCCTGTGGTTTTCTGTGATGGCCCTTGGAAGTTAGATATGAACCTCAGGCATTGAGAAATTTCTGGTGGGGAAAGAAAGGTCTCCTACCAAGAAAAGAAAAAATGAACCGTACTGTATTTAAATCCCACCTCCCAGGTTAAGTTTCCACTGACTTCGGGCAAAGTATGTGGTTGCTCTTGGACATGGTTTCCTCATCTGTTAAATAAAAGGGTTAAATTAGATGATATCTAAAATACTTTGACGCTCTAAACTTCGGTGATCCTGAGAAAATTGGAAGGTGTGAACTGTAGAGAAGAGGATAGACTTAGAAGTCTGCTATTATCAGAGTCATATGTAATGGGTAACTGTGAGAAACAAGAATTAATTCCCTGTACACACTGGTGGTGAAGGTAAACTTTAGGCAATTGTTGCCTAAGATGTTATGACGAGGATGATTTCAGCCTAGTGTAATAATGTGTCTAAATATTGGAACCATCCAACAAGGACTTGAGTTGCTTTGTAAGGTAGTGAGCTTTCTGTCGCAGGAAGTGATCAATCACAGATTGAATAATGACATTTTGGGGGTTGTTATTAAAAAATTCCTCCCCTGACCCCTACCTTCTTCCTTTAAGAAACATTATGTTTTCCTGCAGACTAGTTGAGCATATAATGATTAAGTGAGAAATACTGGTGAATCTCAACATTTATTTCTCAGAACATAAAAAAAATCATGTTTTTCTTAATGCTATTAGGTCCCTGGTGGGGAAAAAAGAGTTTAATGTTGAAATAAGTTTGAAAAACTCAAGAGTAAATAGTGTTATGCAGGTTTCTTTGCTGGAGGACATCTCAGAGACTTAAATATATTAATTTTAATGTTAAAATTCCTAATGTTATGAATTTTCTAAGTACATTTGATGATAGACTATTTTTCTCAGAGTGTCTGATGGGAATAATGATCTACTGAACATACTTTGAGAAATGTTGCTTTGAGCAATAGACTTATGTTCTAAGCCCTTCGCCCCTAGGAAACACACATCACAGCTTCTCTGTTATCTTTGGGTAGGGCTGATGATGAAGGCTAATTTGGGCCTTAGGAGATGGAGCAGGGCTCTGGATGATAACCATTAGACCTGACTTAGCTGGTGATCTTAGATGGGTCTCTCCATGTGTCTCAGTTACCTCACATGTCAGATGGGGAGAAATCGTGCAAGTCCAGCCCTTTTAGGGTTAAGGTGTCACGATAAAGTCCAGGGTAGTATGCATAGGATCAGAATTTGAATCTGTATCTCCTGACAACTTGCTAACATTCAGATTCTGGTTTGGCAGGTCTGCCGGGGTGGGGACCAAGATTCTGCCCTGCTCACATGCTCTTAGGCAATGCTGCTGTGGCCATACTTTGAGTTTTAAGGGTCTAGGAAGCCACACAGTGTGGCCCTTATCAGGAGCATCTGCTCATATGGAGCAGCAGCAATAAGCCTTCTGGTGTTGCTCCTTTCCCTGGAGATCTGGTCTGTGCTTCTGAAAGGTATTATTCATGAGGGAAAACAAACCAGGCATCCCTCAGGTATCCCTGTAGTGAGGTTTGCTGTGGGCCCCTCAGAAGGGAATCCCTCTTCCTCTTCCACTTCCCCACCCCCACTGCCTACAGCTCCCCAGTTAGTTAAGCTATTTTTTGAGTTTGAGTTAAAACCGTTTCAGATATATTTTTAACTACGTCCTCTTTGAAAAGCTGTTAGCATTTGGCAATCATTCCATCTTCAGCTTGAATCCTGGGGAGGGTGGTTTTTTCTGCCCCCCACCCCCCACAACCAGGCAAAAGTATATAATTTAAAAATCGTTTTAGTGCATGGGTCAGAGGATGGTTGATAGGGCTGGGTCTAGGGTATGTTTTGGCCTCCACAAAGCTGCCACTGCTGGGGCTGCCTTTCTGTGCTTGCACCTGAGGCTAAGCAGGCACTGCTGAGTGAATGTGAACGGGTCGGGCTGGCATGAGTGCTGTCCAGCAGGGGGAGAGAGAGAGGCAATGGGAAGGAGAGGCGGAGGCGGAGATGGGTCAAAGGCATCAGAACCCGACCTGGTTGAACCTACACCAGCAAGGTCATCACAAATAGTAGCAGAGTTAACATCTTTCCTGCCACGTTCCTGAGATATTTCAGGAGCAGCGCATCACCATTGTCATTATGATGGGGGATTTATTAAGGGTAAGGATAGTGGAGTAATTGAAAGAGTAGTGCCTTTGGGAAATTGTTTTATTTATTGTTTTATTGAACAAACACTTATATAGCCCTTACACCATGACATCAACTGAATGCTTTACAAATATTAGCTCATTTAATCCTGATAACAATCCTATGAGTAAGTACTATAATTATCCCCATTGCATAGAAGGGAGAAGTGAGGTGCAGAGAGAGGTCAAGCAACTTGCCTAGGGTCCCAGTGCCGGTAGGTGGTAGATCTGGATTCCAGCCTTTAGGGTCTGGAACTGGAGCTTGTGCCCTTTGCCATCACACTGTGCTGTTCCTTCCAGCAATGTAGGTTCTGCCCTCTCGGCACTCAATCTAAGAATGGTTGTGCCAGCCCAGGCTGCTCTTACCTACTTCTTGGGAGAAATGAAATTGAAAACAGATGAGAACTTTCACCATAGACTGGAGAAATGAATAATTTTTTGAAAGCAGTTATCAAGTATTAATAGGTAACTCCTTGCTGCTCAAACATTCAAGCCCATTAAACACTCCAAATATACCTGGACCATGTTAAAATTTGATCTCCAAGTAGGAAATTCTAGAATTGCTTTGAAAATTATTACCGAGAAGAAATTGTTTCCTCCTCATTTTTTTTCTCATAAAGTTGTTGTTGTTGTTTTTGTTGTTTTCTTAGTGAAATATTCTGTCACCATCAGTCTAGATGAGTTGCTTGCTCCTGAGCACTCAGGGAGAAGGATGCAGCCACTGGGCAGGCATGCTACCTCCTAGCTTGGCTCTCCCCAAGGCTGGAGTTGGTAGTCCTGTGCGGAGGGCTGGCAAAAGGCTGCTGAATTCAGGGAGTTGGCTGGGAGGCTTCTACTGGCTGTGAGCCCCTGAGACTATTTTATTCCCATGGAATAAGCAGGATAGGAACACGAAGGTAGAGAGTTCCCCATTGGAACTGGAAGTTGGAGACCCTTGCTCTTTCCAGGAGCTAGCCTTTCCTGCAGCCTCTTTGGGGGCAGCAGATACCCTGGTAGAAGGGATGCCTGTAGTGAGAAACATTTCATGGGCGGTGACCTCCTTAAGGCCTGAGTGCTCAGGCTTCTCTTTGGGCTCGTGTTCTCACATGCCTGTAAGTCTCACATTCGCTTCTCTCTCCTTCCCGTGCCAGACACAGTTGTCTGGATTAGGTGCCTGGCTTTTAGAATTTGGGAAGCACTGCTGTTGACTCACTGCTGGGCCTGTGTCCTTTCACTGGGCCCCAGGGACAAGTCTTTTTGTACAAGTCTTCTCCTTGAAGGATGCCAGGCCCCTCTGTGGTATTGTCTGCACTGCATGGCCCATGTCTAATAATACTAATTAATAAGCTGTCACCTATTAATAACACTGGAATCATCATCACATAGGTGACAGAAAGCCAAATAAACTCCAGCAGGCCAGCATTGCAGCACAGCTCTTGGGGGAGGAGAGGAGAGAAGAGCATGAGGAACGTTTGAAGGGGCCTTAGGCAAAATGCTTTGGGCCAATAGCACTGGGGGCTGAATTTGAAATCTGCTTAGGAATAAGGCATGTGTGGACTTTAATGACTAAAAATCCAAGCTTATGGGGCAGGTTGGGAGCCTGGAGGGTTTGACTCAATTGAAGTGCTAGCTGAGGGATTAGAAGAACTCTCTAATGCCTGATTTCTAGTGACTTGGTCTTGGCTGGAGAAGACTGATGTTCTCAGGTTTGGTTGGGGTCGAGCAGTGGGAACTTAGATAGAAACACTCATTTAATGGATGAATAAACTGAGACATGGACCGTAATTTTTTACCCCAAATGTTATTGAAAGAATGAGTAAGTAAAAGAAGGAACCTATGTAATGAGGCTAAAAATGTCCCAGAAAAAGCAACCCTTGAAATTCACATCCTAAGAGTCATTAGGGTGGCAGGAATGGATATGCCAAGTCTTTTTATGCAGAACTCTGATTTTATAGGCATAGTCTTATTTATAAATGTGCAATTGCATGTATTTCAATACATAACATAATAAAACCAAGTTGCTGTGAGGATTAAATGAGATAATGCATTAGTGCACGCCAAATGCCTAAAAATGCCTAACTTAGTACCTGGCGGGTGGTAAACGTCCTAATAATCAAGGCTGGTAGCTGGTATACCTTGGTCAGGCCAAACCAGTTGCTCTTGGTCACCTTCCAATCTGATTGGTTGCTGACTGGACCATCTCAGATATTAAATATTTTAAATTCCACTCTGTTAATAATGACCAATACTTTCCATTGTGGACTTCCCAGGTGCCATTTACTATTGTCGGTGCTTTTGATACAATTCTCACAGGAAGCATTTGATACCATTTTTCCCATTTTATAGATGAGAAAGTGGAGGCTTGAGATGTTCAAAATTTGGCTGAGGTCTCATGGCCAAAAAATGGTGGAGCTGGGATTTGAATCCAGATGTCCTGTTTGCAGAGCCTTGGGATCTTAACCATAATGCTTCTAAGTAGAGGGTTGGCAGGGGGTAACTTGTGGTAGCAGTTGTTATTATTATTGTTATTATCATCACTGAAATAACTTTTTTTTTTTCAGAATGCCATGGGCAATGTATTCTTTTGATTGGTAGTGAAATTTTTTCTTGCTACATGCTGAAAGCACTGGTCTGGCACATTTGAGAAAAGCTGAAACAGTCCCTGGTCTGTTCTGTCCCTGAACTGAGTGAAGATGGAGCCCCACAATCTAATCAAAGGAAGGAAGATAGGCCTGTGAGAGAACCTTCTAACTTAATGACCTCTGATAATGGCCCTCCTTATCCCAGGACGGAGATGAGAGCTGAGAAGGCCTAGGGTCTCTGAGGGTTTCAGTTGTACCCATTGAGTCCTCCCTTAAAAAATAAAAATTAGTACCATTGCTGACATGGCACCATCATTTGGGCAAACAACTGATATTGCTTTTTGCTTATGGTTGCATTACACGTCTGCAAGGAGACCCATCTTACTCTCTTTGATGTTGTCTTTCCCTGCTATTTTGTACATAACCATCTTCACAAATTTGGAGCTATCTGGGGAATGCTGGATCACTAGAAAGAGCCGAATGGTAGTTAACTAAAATGGTATGGAGGAATGAGACAAAATAAGCCCACAGATTTCATGATAAAAGGCAAACTAAAAGGATACAACTGGAGTAATTGAAAGATAAATAACACTTAAGGAGCCTAAGAAAGTACAAAGCAGAATAAAATGATAATAACAAATATATTCAAAATATATAAGTTAAAGTAGGTTAGACATCAAGGGGGTAAAATGAAGTAAATAATAGTGACTACAGTGATACCCTAAATAATAAGCTAAATTATTAAAAGGGATATAATAACTTGAAATAAAGGAATGCCAACTATAGGGGGCAGTCCAAAGTTAATAATCCCATGCAGGGGCAAATGCAGACCTGTGGGCTGGGGTAGCGAACATCTGTTGAGTACTTCTGTGGGGCAGGCATCCTACGGGTATTTTATTACTTGTTTCTCAAAACAACTCTGTGAAGTAAGTACAGGTGTTACCTCCATTTTATAGGTGAGGATGCTAAGACTTGGAGAGGGTAAAGAAAGTTATTCAAATCACAAGGAATTTAGGTGGCCCAGAAAGGATTGGAATCCAGGCGTGTCCCTTAACCTCTAGGCTGTTCTGCAGACGCACTTCTCACGGGGATGTCCTTCCTAGGCTGGTGTTTGCCACAGGAATCCCACAGGCGCTGACATCTGCAGGGCACTGAGTCCTCAGGCTCTCCCTTGAGGCTTCCGCCCTCTCATCCCTTAGGTCCTTCAGGTCTCTTCCTGCTGCCCCCGAGATGAGCGTACAGTTTCCCTGGCTATTCCCGATGTCCTGCTGGATCATGGTGGCTCCTTTACATGGTTCTTCCCTCAGGAGCTCCTGACATCTAGAGCAATCCCATGCACTGTGCCTTCTGAACTTCCCTTCCACATTCTGTGGACAAATTTGGTACAGAGACTTCTAGGAAGGCCAGGTAAGGAGGATATGGAACTGGTGGCCAGGGCAGTTCAGGTCTAGAGTAAATAGGTGGGAGGTCAGATGTCATATAAAATTAATCCATGAAGGCATGTTCGTTTGTGTTCCTAAAACTACTGGATACCGTGGAGGTGTTGAAGGCTGGAGACCCGAAGACACATAAGAAAATGAGATTGTGATCTGAAAGGCAAAATAGACTGAAAAGTAGGCTAGTAATGATGGAAGTGCATATGTCCGTCTAGTCCCAGCCCAGATGCCACTTTAGTCCACCAAGCTTGCCTTGATATCCCCCACCTCCAAATCACAATTAATCACTTGCTTATCGACAATCCCATAGAGCTTCCTTTACATTGCTCTCATGATTATTTTCCCTTTGCTTTATAGAAACACATTTCTGTCCTCCTCCAATGCTTAGTGGAGTCCTTGGGGTTCAGACCTTGATAGATTCATTTTGTTTCTCATGAGCATGATGCCGGGTACATGTGCTATTAAAGTTTGCTGGGTCAGGAAAGTGCTAGGATGCTGCAAGAACATCCAGTAAAGGGCAGAAATATAAGAACTACCATCCTTGGCTGGAGGCAATAGAGTACTGTGGCTAACAGGCAGGCTCTGGAGTGGGATAGACTTGAGTTCAAATTCATTCTTAGCAGCTTCCAGCTGTGTAACCTTGGGCACCCTCTCTAAAGCTTCAACTTTTAAGACTGTGGAATGGATCTCAACTGTCAAATAGCACAAACCTCACTGGACTGAATGAGATGACCCACGTAGTGGCATATGGTAAGTGCTCAACAGCTATTAGTGGATTGGTGCTGGTCCAAGGGAGGACATGCCAGTGCAGCCCTTAAAAAGGGAGCTGGAGAAGAAAGGAGTTTGGGGCTGCATTTTCACATAAGGTGCCAGGGCCTGATGCTGAGCAAAACCTTTGTATTGGGTGCCACCGACTGTCATCTCTTGTTTAGGTTTGACTGGGGAAACGTTTCCACAGACATGAACTAGTTTGTCAAGGCTGGCAAGGGATTTTCAAGGGTTTAGGGGTGCAGTCTAGGCTCAGAGCTCAGAGTGCAAGCCACAAAAGAGAGCCATCTTCCTGAGTCACCAAAACACTTGATTCGGGCCTCTGACCCTTAGCTGGCAGCCCCTTAGGATAGGATGGGCTGTGCCTGGGTCTGTCTTTGCTGCTAGGGGCTCTGAGAGAGGAAGCCCCATTTGTCACTTTCATTTCTATGTCCCCAGCCCCTTGCAGTATGCTTCATCCTAAGCAGGCATTCAAAGTGCTTGTTGAAGGAATAGATTTGTGTCCTAGTTACAGCCCTGACTTCCACTAGATGCTCAAAGATTGCCCTGATTTTGCAAGGAAGAGCAACTACTCAGGGAAACTGAGGCACACTTGTAGGTTAGAGTCCCTCAGTCTGCAAGGAGACACACACATCCTCAGCAGTGGGGAAGTGGTTTGGTTACTGAAGCTGTAAATAAGAATTTTGTCTTTATATTAATTCCTACTCTGATTCTAGGGAAGAACTCTCCTCTCAGGCTGGAGTAAGGGGAGAACTGAGCTCAGACACTGCCTCTTAGTTGTGGGGGCTGCAAACTGCCCCTCCCTCATGATATCTTCTCAGCTGTTTGCAAAACAGTCAGGGAGGAGGTGAAGCCCTGAGCCAGGCGGCCTGTCTGTCTCTTTAAATGCTGGGGTCTGTGTGGGAGAGGGAGGGGCCGGCTCTGGAGTGCGTGAAATTCCTGGGCTCCTCCAGCAGTCTCAGGCTCAGCGCTCAGCCCTACACATCGCCTCTTGCATGCAACTCACAGAGAGGGAGAGGCAACCTGTCCTCCCCTCTCTCAGCCTCGGCATCTCCAGCCACCAAGGACCTGCTTTTCGCACCTCCAACAACCCCTCCCTTCTACCCTGCCACTCCCTCCCAGAGAGAAAGGAAAAGGAGAGAGAAAGATTCTGGAATTTGAACCTACCCAAAGAGGAAACATACCCAGCAAACTCAGTTGATTAAACATCAAACAGACATACAGACAGATCCCAAATCTTCTGTTCAACTGGAAAGGTAAGGTTTGCGGGGAAAGGAAGGCAGTCAGGGCATGAAACAACTCAAGGTTCTTGTCCGTTCTGGGAAGAGGTTGCTCCTGAGAGGGTAGAAGTTTTCAGTTGGGAGCAACCAACCTAGATTTTCTTTTTTGAATACTGTATCCATGAGCCTTGGCTGACTGTGGAAATGGCTTTTCAACTGCCTTTCTTTTCCTTCAGTTTCTCCTGGAAGTTGGGTCCTTTTCCTCCAGATGTTGGAAAAGTCAGAGAATGTTTTAGATTTTTATCTTCTTCTTCTTTTTTTTTTTTTTTTTTTGAGTCTTTCTCCTATTTGCTTGAATTGTTAGTCTGAAATGATGTGTGCTCATCACTTCATTTTGGGCAGATACTTTTTTTTTGACATTTTGTAGTCACTTCCCCCCTCATTTATTCATTTATTTATTTGGGCTGGTTAAAATGAGAAACAGAAAGGACACTCTGAGGATCACAAGAAAACAAAATTGAATTGAGACAGGGATTTCCCTAGCTGTTGAGGAATTGACGTGTATGTGAGTGTGTGTGTGCTTTTTTTTTTTTTTTTTGAGGGGGTGTGAGGAGGTGGTCCTAGAGTCTAAAAATTCAGGTTGGACTCCTGTCTTGTGAAGGTGGGCATACTTGGAGAAGGTGAAAAGGGAGTGTGTGTGTGAGTGTGTGTGTGTGTGTGTGCGCGGGTGTGTGCTCCTGTTTGGATCGGTTACAAGGGAATCTTCCTCCACTGCCTTCCATTTGTTTATATTAATGATTTAGTAGCAGGCTTGCCTGAAAACTTCCACTCTGTGTAAGCACTGTGGGTTTTGCAAGCTCTCAGTGACCTTAAAGCCTGGTTCGATGTATTGTTTTTTCCAGGCATTGTGCTGTACCCAGAGTTTCAGCTCTTTCCCTCTCTCTTTTTTAACCACAAAACTTAACTGCTTTAGAAACATCATCCTGATGACAAGGAAAAAAATGTGTCCCCCCACCCCCCATCCCTTCTTAGGCCAGTGATGTAATACCAACCTAAGGGCTCGGCTGCTTTGCAGGTGACTTACCCTGTGATTACTTGTTAAAAAAAAATAAAATTTTCCCTTCCTCCATTAAATGTCTGCCTCTTTTAATTTGGATGTAGAAATATCATCATGCAATGAGAACATCATATTTTTGCTAACCATTATTGGGGTTTAGGTAAAGTAGGATTGCTCTTCTCTGATCTTTATTGTTAATACTTTTTTTTTTAATGCAAAGGTCAGAGATCATTGAGAGCTAGCTTAGGATGGAGCAAGATAGAGTCAGGGCAAATAAAAGAGCTGGTAGGACAAGAGCTGTCTTCTCCCCGCTTCCTTCGGTTCCCGCTTTGGGGAGATAGTTTTTCTTTTACCACTACAAGCCACCCCAACATTCTTCTTTCTTCCTCTCCGCTGGGTCCTGTGGATGGCCCTGGGAGGGAGAGGGGGCACTCCTTGTCACACCTGGAGGATGGTGTAATTTTGGGGGTCAGATGACCGTTTGCCTTTGTGATGAAGGTTCCAGTGGAAATTTGAACTCCCAGCACGCTGCGTGACTTGGTACCCAGGATAGTCTATCTGGGGGCACCTGGAGGTTAGTCTGGGGAGGCTGGAGAACTGGCTCTTTATTAATTTGCCGTTCTGGGTAGAGCCTTCCTTCATCGTTCAAGGGCTTCTGCATCGCCTTTCAAGTTAAAATGGTCCCGCTGGTTATGATGGGCAAGTTTACCTAAGGGCTACTGGGTATGTGGCGGAAGGATGGAGGGGAGTGAGAGGAGGCAAGGCTGGTATTTATTTTTTAATCTTCGGGCTTAATCTGCCTAAGTCATATGGGGCAAACGATATTTCAGACGGGTGCTGGTTGTGCAGATATTCCTATTGTTTGATTTTTTGTTGTTGTTGGGGAGTGGAGTAAGGGCTCTTGGCCCATTTTCTGCAGCCTGAGGTTCATCCTGCGAGTCAGTCTTCCTTCTGGAAGGGGGGGAAAAGGCTGGACACTGGAAGTTCGCTATTAAAGTGAGCAACAGGGCTGGGTTTATTTTTTAAAAACAACCGGACTGTGCGAATGCCCTTTTCTGGAGCTTTCTGGCCCTTTCTAGTGAAATAATAATTTAAAAAAAATTGCTTCTTGAGAAGAGGAGGGGGCAGAAATTAAAGGGATTCTAGATTTTGAGAGACAGCTACGTCTTTGCTTCTCTGGTAGTTCCCTATTATTAATTATTGGGGTTTTGACGGCGTTCTGGCCTCCGTTTTTGTTGATTTCATTTTAGTGCTGCGTTTCTCCTGACTATGTTGATGATTTGCTGCTTATATAAGGGAAAGGATGTATTGAGGTGGACTGATGCTTGGGGTTTTGAGATCGGCTACTGAGATTGGGTGGCGGTTGGTGTGTTTGTCGATGTGCATGGTAGGAAGGTCTTTTCTTTTGGGTGGTAGGGGATGAGAGAATGGTGGGAGAACGGTAGATGAGATGCTACAGCAAACGGGGATGTGGGGGGAGACGGAGGTGAGGTTGGAAGTCACCGGTTTGCAGAATTTCTATTCTGCACCCCCCTTTCTCTCGCTCCTGGAAAAAAAATCCATTATCTATAAAAACACATTATTCTTCAATTGGCCTTTTAGAGAAAAAAAAGAGAGAGGGAAGGGAGGGGTTAATTTGGTGAGGGGGCTTGGTCGTAATTAGCCCACTGCTGCAAAACTGAGATACAGAAATCCATCGGCACCAGCTTTGGGGGCATGGAGAGGCAGCGGAGAGATGGGGGACGGGTTGTCAGTCTTGGATGAACAGTGGAGCGGTCGGGTTGGCGTCTGGGCATTGTGTGTGCTTGTGTCTCTGTGTGTGTGTGAAATTTTTTCATCCCACCACCAATCTCCCCCTCCATCCTCCCCCAATTCTGCCATGATCTTGCCTTCTATTTCCACACACTGCTCCCCCCACCCTAGGCGCACCCCCCCTTCCTCCAGCCCTTTCCATCTTCATGAAAAAAATTCTGATTTTGATGGCTCTGCGGCTCTTTTTTCCCTTTTTCCTTGCTTTTTTTTTTTTTTTGCAACACAACAGTCGTGCGATGGCCTTTCCTACATGCCACACGGATGCAGCCTTCTGATAGGAGGGCAAAGTCGGCACATCCACACACACACTGGCATACGCTCTTGCACACACAGTCTCTGTCACATACACAGGCGCCAAGGGCTTCATTTTGCTTGGTTTCATTCCCCTTAACCTCTTTCCCCACTCTACCTCCACCATGGCTCCTTCCCCCCATCTTTGCATGGGGACTGCGGTCACGTTAGAGCCTCTTTTCCTCTCCGCAACCGCGGTCTTCTTTCTTCTCGCCATTATTCTTTCCCTAAAGCTGTCGTGTGTCGCAGTTCATGGGATTAGCATGTTGGAGAGTCTTTGTGGGAGGGGACCTCACAAGCAGGGGATTGGAATGGGGGTAGATAACATTAATAATTTTTTTTGACCAAATAAGCACCCAGTGATAATGATCCAATTTAACCATCCATGAAATATATGTTTGCGGTACATTGGAGGAAGGTTATGTGGGGGAGGCAGAGTCTGACGGGGTTACCTCCGGGGAGATTTGATGCCTGGACAGTAGAGCCACAGCCCCCTCCCCCATACACATGTGTACACTCTCTCACACACACCAACACGCACAGCTCTGATCAGTGGGCTGTGTCGAACCAGAGGGCACTGCAGAATATCCCAGAGAGTTGTGATGGTTAGTTGGGAGGATGGAACAATGTCTTTGTCCGACCCAGTTCTCCTCTCTACAGATGATTCTGGGTCTTGAAATTCTTGGTGGCCTTTGTGTTGGTTTACGGGTGGGGACTGGAAGGGTGTTTGTGTTTTGTCAAGCACCAGCGTGCCTCCAATTGGACAACATAGGATTGTCAACACTGTGCGTGTGGTTCAAGCAGGAGGCTGCCTGCCTCTTTGTGTGGTGTGGCTGTGTTTGTTGGATATGTGCGTATCCAGCCTCATACGGTGGCTCTGGACAGGTGTGGTAGTGACGGGGAAGGAAGGCAAGAAGCAGGGATGGTCAGTGGGGAAGAGTCCTCAAGGTAGTTGAGAGGAGGGTAGAGGGGAAGAAACTGCTCCTGCCTCCAGCAGGAAGCCTCAAATGAGATCCCCACGTCCACCAAGCGAACCCGTGGGTGGGTGGCTCATGGATGACTGGTGGGCGGATACAGATTGAAGGGGGAGAAGGGGATGAGGTGGGTGAAATTGAGGGTTTTCCCTGCTGCCTTGACAGAGCCTGGGGCTGAGCTCGGGAGGGTGGTCTTGCTCCCCTGGCATCAGCCACCTCTTGGGCGGCTCGGCCTTGTTGGAGGCTGCAGCCTGAAGGAGCTGAAATCACCCTCGGCCGTGAGAGCAGCCCAGCCCCTGTTTTCTCCTGGGCTCTGGCTGCCTTAACTACCGGACGCCATTTTCCCATCTTCAGCTGAAGGTGTGTCTCTCTTTATTAGTAATTATAAGTGAAATTGGAAAACATTTTGCCTAAAAGAAAAAAATCACAAAATCCTCAGAGCAAAATGCTGATGGTCTTACCTTTCTAGCATCCCTCTCCCTTCTTGGGGCTGACCCTGAGGAGTTAGGGAGACAGGGTTACGTCATTGCCAGAGAAAGGGGATAAATGGGGAGTAGGATGCCTTGGGGGTAAATTATTGTGCCCAATGCAGAGAAGAGATTGTTCTTGGTATCCCCCGGCCGTGTTCTCCTTACATGACCCCTCAGGTGTGGATAGGAGACTTGCAAAAGAAGAAGCATTCCTTCTAAAACCTCACTGCCTAGAAATGTGCTGGCCCGTGGTCGGCTGTGGTCTGGGACCTGCTGTGGTCCGGTTCCTGCTGTGGTCCGGTTCCTGCTGTGGTCCGGGACCTGCTGGGGGAAGAACTGTTGCGCTGCAGCTCTGAGCCTTGAGGGCCAGCTCTGTTGCTCTGAGGATGAAGCAAGTGCGGTGCTGTGGCTGGGCCAGCCACAGGTGGCCATGCTGGGCTCGGGGCAGGTTGGCCATGCTGAGCTCGGGGCAGGGACTATGGATGGGGCCCACTCCCAGCCCTTTCCTGCAGGTTGTTCCTCAAATTATACTCCTCAGAGAGACCTTTCCTGACCAGCTTTCTAAAATAGTCCCCTTACCCCAACCTCCTGGCTGCTTTCCAGCCCATGACACTGTCTTTAATTTTAATCGGTGAATCATTATTTAATATTATATTATACGATGATATATTGAAACATTTAAGATGGATCTCGTCTCTTTACCCCTCTAGAATGCAAGCTCTGAGAGGTCAAGGACTTTGTGTTCATTGTGGTGTTCCTAGTGCGTAGGACATTTCCTGACACGTAGTAGGTGCTCAACAAATGTTTGTCGATTGGAGGAAAGAACCACATGGGTTTAGTGTTGGAGTTTTCTTCTCTAGCACTTGTGGCCTGTCTTCTGGGAAGGGTGGACTTTGCCTCTGGTTGTCTTAGCCCTGCCTGAATGTCTAGATCTGCTGGAGGAATTGCAACATGCTCAACTTCAGTAGTTTAGTAGAAAGGGCTTCTCTATCCCTGGCTCAGATGACTCTGCCTCCTTTGAGATCCCTCTAATATTAGTAATCACCATTCTCATCATCATCATAGTAGTGGTAGTAATAGTCGTGATATAGCTATCATTTCTGCAGTAGTTACTATTTACAAAGTTCTCTTCCAAGTTTTTTTTTTTTTTTTTTTAACACTCGGTATCTCATTTAATTCTCCAAACAACTCAATGCAGTATACTATTATTACCTGAGGAGACTGAGACTTAAAGTTACCTAATAAAATGACAGATCGAGGATTTGAATTCAGATCTGTCTCATGCCAGAGCCCAAGCATGGGACCCTTATGTTATAGTGTTAGAGGAAAAAGGGAGATGAATCATCTGTCATCTTATTCAGTGCCCTCAAGTACAAATGACAAGATGGAGGCCCAGAGAGACTACATGGCTTTTCCAAAGTTATGCACCACGTTTGATGCAGAGACAAAACTAGAATCAAGGTTTCCTGGCTGCCAGGGTAGGGCTCTTTCTACTCCATCATGCTGCCTGGTGGGCTGTGGGCCCTTTTCCAAGGGTATTGCAGCTGCTGCTGTGGGGGCTGCCTGGGGTGCCTTCTTAGTTCTCTTTCTTCAGAGGGGAGTGAGGTCTTGGTGGGGCAGGTGGGTGGTAGGTGTGTCTCTAAGGAAGGCACACTTGCAGAGCTAGAGGTCAGGGTTTCATGGCTCGAAGAAGACTGGTGGGCTATATTCCAGCTGAGTGGTGGTTAAGGTTGTCTTCTGACCTTCCTGGGGGAGGAGAAACTGGAATGGAGGAGGACCCCCATTCCAGTGGGGTGCTCAAGGTTCTCAATCCCATATAGCCCTGCCCGTCAAGGGTACTTTCAGGTCCAGCAGAGGCTCCATTCAGAGAGCCAAGCAGCTGGTATCTGGATGCTGACGACTCTGGGAGCCTGTCACTTCTCCTAGACTGGCCTAGCCTTCTTTCTCACGAAGGGAAGCATGAATCCAGACATTGGCCCCAGTGTGCTTCATTTGTGTTTCCAGAGGCTGGTTGGGGGGCATGATGTCATACAATATGGGTGAAGGCCTTCTACCAGTGTCTCTGTTCCACTCTAGGGTTGGTCTTGACCTTGAATGGGAGAAGGATTAGACATTCTAGACAAGTATGAATGTGTGTTTTTTTTTTCAGGGGTGGGGTGGGGCCAGAGAAAATTGGATTCTGAGAAGCAAGGAAGTCTTACCTTTAGCCAAGACCTTGAAGCAGAGCATGAATGCATTTCTGCATGACCTTGAGATGGTGTAGCCAGACGCCCTGGTGTGGGGAGACAGTGTCTGTTTAGGCCTTTGTCCTAGTGTAATTAGTAACTCTCAAAAGTGTCCCGGTTTGGATGATAAAATATATGGCCATCCTTCTTTAAGACGACATCACACACTTTCTCTTAAAGGAATAGAGAGAGGAAGGGGGCATACTAGAGAGAGAAATCCAATTTTAGGGCAGGAAGGTGACTGAGAGTACAGCCTTTCCCCAGCTCTACTTTCACTTACCCCCACTTTCTGAAGGATAAAAACCTGGATCTTCTGAGTATTCCTACTACCAACATGACTACTACTTCTCTCTCAACTACTCTTACTCCCATCCAAGAACTAACCAGGCCAGACCCTGCTTAGCTTCCGAGATCAGATGAGATCGGGCATGTTCAGGGTGGTATGGCTGTAAACCCAACTACTTTTACTAAAGCTTCGATTGGCCAATATTTGAGACCTGACTATGGGCCAGATACTATGCTAAGCACTTGACATGCATTATCTCACATAATCCTCCAACAATCCTGTGAGGTGGGTACTGTTATCATCTCTGTCTTACAAATGAAGTAACTGAAGCCTAAGGAGGTTAAGTAACATGTCCAAGGCCACTCAGGTAGGAAGTGATGACATCATGATTCAAACCCAAAGGGCCTGGCTCTGCTCTGAAGCCTCTGGTCTTAACCACTGTTTCGTACCACCTCCATGGGCCTGTCCTCTGGTTCCGCAAGTCTGGAAACTTGATTCTAAGAGCTGGCCCATTTGCCAGGCAGTCAGCTGACTCACAGCTCTGGGACTTGCTGAAGGTGCTGCTGTCAGTTAGAGGCATTTCAGGCTTAGGAGGAGGGGGCTGCTGGTTGTAGCACTGCTGCTTAGGAGTAATGCTGCTGGTTGTCTTTTGCATGGCACTAAGGAAACTCTGTTTCCCAAGGTGTCCCCGTTACCTTCTTCCTTGCTTCATGCACCTTGTCTGAGGAGGGAGTTGAGGTGATTTGGGGTGGTGATAGGTGGGCAGAAGGTAGAGAACCTGAAGCCTATTTGTCTCTGCTTTGCTGTGTCGCCCTAAACCTGCATGGGACAGCCACACTCCCCATGGCCCTTGCAGCAGGGACTGGCCCTCAGCGTGAGATTTCAGTGAAAGGACAATTATCCAGCACCTGCTTTGAGCAGGGCATCATGCTCTGCTATTTTTCACTTAGGTGGGTAGTGTCCTCATTTATCTGTTGAGGAAACTGGTGATCAGAGGGGTTAAATCGCTTTTTTAGGATTACACAGTGAGATCCTGGGTCCACACTTGGGTCTGAATCCAGGGACTCTGCACCACCCTCCATCCTGAATCATGGAGAAGAGGAGCTGGGAATTGGATCATCTAAAACTGGGGGTAAAAGAGGAAATACTCTAGACAGAGGTCTTCCAATCAGCTCCTGAGGTCTGGATAGGAACTCTGGGGATCATCATCCTTATCAGCCACCTCTAGGCCTGCCTCTACCCCACACCCACAGGGGAAGACACCTGCTGACCCCTGAGCTGGAGGGGTGCTGGTTCTGGCCTGGAGAGAAGGAGGAGATGGGATCATGCACAGCCTCACTGGTGGAGGCGGGATGTTCAGAAGGAGTTACCTCCTTCCCCCGTGGAGCAGGAACATGTGCACTGACAACATCCCCCTACATCTGTGTCACAGGATAAAGGGTGGGAAGGGATGCCAGGTCTGCTGCCTAGATACAGGCAGGGAGGATGCACAGAGGGAATGAGCGGGATCCCCCAGGCTGGAGGACTCCAGGGAGGAAGAAGGAACTTTTTCTTGGTGGAGAGGCAGGGAATAGGAGAAGAACAGTTTTCTGACTGAGAGGATGGTCTGCAGCCCCTAGGCTGAGCTGCATCAGCTTCATTGCAGTCCCATTGAAGACTGTGTTTATTTTTTCCAATAATGTGTTAATTAAACATCGATTTCTGGGTGGAGGAAAGGGAATTGGATTGCCAGAGCTAAATGGAGTGTGGCAAATGGGGAGCGGTTGAGAGGGGCCCCAAGCTGGAGTCAGCATTCTCCAGTGGCACCCCAGGAGGGTCGGAAGGGAACTAGGGCTGCCTCTTCCCCTGGCTCCAAATTTGGAATTGTCAACTCTCCCAGAGCCTTCAGGAGGCACCTTTCCTACTTCTTGGGTGCCAGGGCAGGTGGAGAGGGCTCTTTGCTGAACCCCAGTTCAAGGAGGGAGGAACAATTATTCTCCACCTTCCTCAGCATCTTTGGTTTATAGAGACTGTGTACCCAGTCTCGTGTTCAGCATGTGACATATATTTGTTCTTTGTTTTTTTTTTTTTGTTTGTTTCTGTTTTTTTGTTTTTTTTTTTTTCTTGTTTTAGACAGAATCCTGCTCTTGTTACCCAGGTTGGAGTGCAGTGGCTTGATCTTGGCTCACTGCAATCTTTGCCTCCTGGGTTCAAGGGATTCTCCTGCCTCAGCCTCCCAAGAAGCTGGGATTACAGGCATGTGCCACGACATCCAGCTAATTTTTTTGCATTTTTAGTAGAGACAGGGGTTCACCATGTTGGCCAGGTTGGTCTCGAACTCCTGACCTAAGGTGATCCACCTACCTCGGCCTCCCAAAGTTCTGGGATTATAGGCATGAGCCACTGCACCTGGCTTGGTTTTTAAAATAAACATGGGGGAGGGCGCTTTTATATTCCTACTTTGGAGATGTGGAAACTAAGGCTTAGAGAAGTAACAAGTTCAAGGTCAAAGAGTTGGCAAGGTTTCACAAGAAAAGGAGTCCTAGCGGAGTTGAAAATATCTGAGGTTGGAAGAACAGCCACCTAGAGTCCCAAGCCCCTTTAAAGGGAAAAAAAGAAAAAAAATGAAGCATCCAGTAGTAACAAAAAGAACCATTTGATATTTTCTCATTGGCTAAGATTGGCTGAGCTGCCGCTGCATTAAGTTAAGTGCTTTGCATATGAAGTTGGGAGGATTCAGTGAATAAGTGTTAGGCAATCATTCTCGTTGTACAGGTGAGGAAAGTGGAGCTTGGGGAGGTTAACTATCTTGCCTGTGGCCGCAGAGTTGGTAAATGGTGGAGCTGGAATAAATTTCTGTAAAAAGGATGTTGAGACCTCTACAGCTGTGTTCTATTGTCCCATATACACTGAGGACATAGACACTGGCTCAGGAAGTCTCCCATGACTTTTAGGAAATAAAGATGTGGAGGTCTCAGGATGGACCCTCTGGCTAGATCCTGGGCCCCATAAATCCCAGGGTCTTGCAGTGTGGACTCTATCATCCCTTCCTTTCTCAGCCCAGGGCAACTCAGGCCCAGCCTCTGGTGGAGAAAAGCCTGTTTTGGGGTGTTTGTGGTGGTTGGAGCTGGGTGATGAGTATAAGTTCAAGCTGTAGTTCTCAAACTTGCTGCATATTGAAATCACCATATTAAAATTCCAAACCCATGCTGCACCTCACACCAACTAAATTAGACTCTTTAGGGACAAGAGCCTGTCCTCGGTGTATTTTAAAGCTTCCAGGTGATCCCACCAGGCTTGCTAACTGATAGTTTGGAACAGCCTCTCCTGCAAAGCAGGTGTTGGGAGGCTGGCATCTCTTCCAGAGTTAGGTAAGTGTGGAGGTAATTGGTCACACACATGTAATATCCAGTGGGGCAATGTTTATAGTGTATTGATCAGTTTTTTTCTCATTAGAATAACAGCTTTCAGACTTCGATATGCCCGAAATGCCTAGGGAGTTTTTACAAAACGGGTGTCTGCAGGCCCCACCTATAGACCTAACTTAAAAGTTCTGAGGTGGGGCCCAGGAATCTGCATGATAAGCAAGCATCTTCTGTGGCCAGGTGAGGTGGAGATCTCTAGGGGTAGCCCCGGGTCTCCTTTGTTCCATGCACTTGTGAAGTCCTCTTTCCTTGGAAGGGAGTGCAGGCTGAGGACATGGGTTGCCATGGTCACCTGTTGCTCTGTGAGGTTTGGTCTCCTTTGCTCAGGCCTGGCTATCCATTGCTGACAAAGAAAGCTGGTTTGCCTGGCCTGGGTCCCTGCTGCCCACTGCAGTGACTCTTGCTTAGTGCCTTGTGTGTGGGCAGCCCTCAGGGAGGAGGGGATGATCCCAACTTAGAAATTCGGCAGACTGCCTTCTCAGTTTAAAAAAAAAATCAGAGTAAATCTCCGCACAACTTGAGTGTTCAGGAGCCTGTCAGCAGCAACCATCCTGAGTCTTCCCCCTGGGATTGGTGAAACAGCTACTTTGGGGCTCATTTTAAATTTTTCTTCTAAAGCTGTCACAGAATAGAGAATAGTCGGAGACTCTCAGAGCTGGAAGGGACCTGGGTGATCACTGTGCCAATGCTAATATTCTATTCACTTTTTCATTCATTTGTTCATCCAGCAGATATTTATTAAACACCTATTATATGCAGGCACTATACCAGGTGCTGGGAATACAGCCACCATCAAGAGAGACGTTTAGTTTATCCCTGATGGAATTTAAGCTTAGGTGGAAGGGCAAGCGGTAGACAACACAAGTATGTCTATAATTACACATTATGATGAGTGTTCTGAAGGCAAAGTATTGGGGGGCACTGAGAATTAGAGAGACCTAATTTAGAATGATGGGGCCGGGGGGGACAATGATAGCTAAAATTCGTTGAGCACTCACCGTCTGCAGGCCCTGCTGCAAGGGCTTCACAAGTATCACCTCATTTAATTTTCACAATGGGTCTTGGAGAAGAGCTAATGTTATTATTGTTGCCTTGTTACGGAAGAGGGAACTGATACATGGAAAGGTGCCCAGTCTGGAACTAAAACCAAAGCTTGTAAGGCTCTCCTACACTTAACATCCCACCGAGATGTTTTTGCTGAGAACTGAAGGACAGATGGGGGTCAGAAAAAACAGAGAAATTAGGAAAGTACTGATAATCCTGGCCACGTGTGGAGCTCTTAGATGCTAGGCACTGTGCAAAACACTTTATCAAAATTATCTGTTTTTTGAGATGGAGTTTCGCTCCTGTTGCCCAGGCTGGAATGCAATGGCGCGATCTTGGCTCACCGCAACCTCTGCCTGCCGGGTTCAAGCGATTCTCCTGCCTCAGCCTCCCGAGTAGCTGGGATTACAGGCAGTGCCACCAAGCCCAGCTGATTTTTTTGTAGTTTTAGTAGAGACGGGGTTGCTCCATGTTAGTCAGGCTGGTCTCGAACTCCCAACCTCAGATGATCCACCTGCCTCGGCCTCCCAAAGTGCTGGGATTACAAGTGTGAGCCACTGCGCCTGGCCTATCAAAATTATCTCACCACATCCTTTCAGCAGCTAGGATAAGTAGGAATTCTTATCCCTTTTTTTGCAGGTGAGAAAAAAAAAGTTTTTGGGAGGTTCAGTGACTTTCGATAGGAAGCAGCTGGGTGTGGCAGAGCTGAGTCTGGAGCCAGGGCCTCTTGTCTCTGGGCTTCTGTCTGTGCGATGGCACAGTTCCCAGGCGGCGGACATCTCTGCATCCTGCCTGGACATCACCTGCTGGGTAATGCTAACAATGGCAGGTTGGGAGGCAAGGAGGATCCCCCACAGTCCATTGGCCTCTTGTTCTGGGCCTGGGAGAACCCAGAATAAGGATGAAACAAGGGACGTCTTTAGGGCATGCCGGCCCCTCTGTGCTGAAAGGAAGCTCCATTTTTCTTCCTTCTGGCAAGAACCATCAGGCCAGCCCTCTTCCTGGTCTGCTGGCCCTGGAAACCCTAGTAAATGACTTTTTCAGGTAATACCCTCCATTGCCTTTTTTCTCTCCTCTTCCCTTTCATCCCTAGTTGCTAATTAGTGAGATGCTTGTTACTTGCAGTTTTGTGTCCCACCCTCTGCGTGGTGCCTACTGGAACACTGTCCCTGCCTGCTCACCCAAGTTGTGTGGTCCCCTGGCCCAACTGAGCTGACCAGTAGATGTGAGTGTAGGTAGGAAGAAGTACAGGGACTTAGTTATGAATTCTGTCTAGAGCCAGGAGAAGGAGGCAAGAAGGTGAAGAAAGAGAAAGGAGATGTGTCAATGGGGCATGATAAAATATTAAATTCCTGAAAGGTTTGCCAGGATGTGGAGTTCATTTCTTTCATATCCATTCCCAGTCCTGCAGGTGAGTGAGTCTGCACATGGGGACAAGTGCCCCGTGAGATAGAGGTTCCTCTATGTTCTGACTGAAATCTCTTCTGGGGTTGAAGGGCTGGTTCTGGCAAGGGGAGAAGCTAGAAGTGGGCAGGCTGGCTTTCTGTCTGTTTTTCTTCAGGTCTTGGGGTAAAGGGAGCTCCCTCCATACTGGGCTCTGATTCTGATGAGACTAACATTTGAAAGCAATAGCTTGACTCTACAGATTTCTGAAATCAAGATAGAAAAGGGAAGGTGGGGAAGCTTTCTCCAAGAAGGGGCGGATGTGTGGGAAGTAAGAAGGTTGCCTCGTGTGTGGGTTGTAGAGTTTGGATGACAGTCACTTTTTTCTTTTTTTGTACATGTAGTTATTTATTTATTTTACAACAATTAACTCCTTACAAATGTGAGTTGATGATTTTCTTATTACAAAATAATATATGTTTGTTATAGAACATTAAGAAAACACCAAAAACAAAAATAAGTCACCTATAAATCTCCCCGCCAGAGATAACCAATGGGAGAATTTTGATATCTATCATTCCAGCTTAATTTCTAAGCATCTGCAATCCAGGGTGTGTTATTTTGTTTTTAGAGGAGTTCATTCACTCATTTAACAAGTACTAATTGAGCGCCCGCTCGATGCCAGGCACTGGAATCACATTTTGGAAGCTGTCACACTAGCCTGATTTTTCACATAAAGATGCATCACGAACACTTTTCCACAACAGCCACTCATGTCTTTGAGCTTCCAGATTTAGCTTTTGGGTGTAATGAGGCAGTTGGCAAATTTTGGCATCTCAAGTCTTATGTCTTAAGAGGGAAGGAAACACTGCAGGGCTTCTCTCTCTTTGGCGTCTATGGCAGTACCATATTAGACTCCTAGGGAGAAAATGTGTCTTTTTACTCAGAAAATAAGAAAGGGAGAGAAGCTGTTTTAGACAGTGGGAAAGACTCTAACCTTTTATTTAATATTGGCATCTGGCATTTCTCCAAATGAGAGGTTTAGAGAGGGAAGGTTCCATTTTCCTCACAGAATCTTGACTCCTTAGAGAGTGCATAGAAATGTAAAGCCTATGGCTAGCTCACCTCCAGCGTAGAGATGAGGACCAGGAGTGGCTAGATGACTTGTCCAGGGACACACATGTGGTTGACAGCAGAGCCGTGTCTGGAGCCTGGGGAGCTGAACTAGGGAGTTGCGCAAGTAGTTGGGGCAGATTTGGTAAAAAGTGGTCCAGCCCTTGCTGGGTGGATGGAGGAACCCTGCTGGTGTTGCTCGAGTTTGGATGCTGTGCTTAAAGGAGGTTTATGATACAGATTTGATTTCTTCATCTCTGAGATGTACATCTGGGGCTGTATAGAGGACTGAGGAGTGAGAGAGAAGAAGGGAATGCCTTCTGCAAAGCCACTGCTATACACGGACCAAGCTGGTTGAGCTGGCACTGTGTGGGCTTCCACAAATTCAATTCTGCAAGTATCTATTGGACACTTCCTTTGCCCAGGGCATTGCATTTAGTGCTAGGAATACAGAGAAGAGTAATGGTTGACATTCTTTAGTGGAGGATGATATGAATGTACCTAATCACTGCAGGAGGCCTCGATCTATTATAGGATAGAGGGAACCCAGGGGTTTCGATGGAGGGAGTAATGACCTCCTGCCAGTGAAGGGAGTGTGAAGAAGTCTTCCCCAAGGAGGTGGAATTTAAAGAATATCAGCAGATGTGGAGAGAAGGACTAAGGATGACAGGCCAGGGAAGTAGCATGATGAAAGGAAAGAAATGGAGAGATTCCTCCAAATACACAGGGGATCAAAATTTCCAGCACATGGGTGGAGGGCTGAGTAAGAAATGGGGCTGAAAGGGTATGCTGAGTCAGGGTTCTGAAGAACCTGGAATGGTAGGAGATTCAGTTAGGATGATCCCTATTATAAGAATCCTAACTTAATCTGAATCCATTGAGGAATTTGTAGGGGATGGGGTTCACATGAGTAAAATTTCAGGTGATGGACCTCAGCTTTGGGTCAGTTAGGGGTGCCTGATATAATCTCAGCCTAGGCTGGCTCTGCTCATGGGAGTGAAGTGGTCTGCAGCTTGAGAGCTCACACCAGCACACCTCACAATGAAGATCTGGAGAGAATGACTTGTCCACCAGCCACTGAACAAAATTCTCAGGCTTTATTTTGGTTGGACCAACATGGATCAAATATCTGTCTTTGGACCAATCACAATGGGATGCTCCTGTAGCTAGACCATGGGTGGGGACTAGAGTGGACTTGGGGAGATGCAAGAGAGTGAACACAAGCATTTGGACTTTAGTCTGTGTGTCCTTGGAGCATGGTATGTATTGGTGCATGGGGTGGCTTGTTCATCTTTGTGGTAATAGAACTCCAGGGGTGGTAATGTCCCTGGATTTGGCAGAATCAGGGACAGGAAGGACACTGCCTGGCTGACACTGGCTCTACTGTCTCAGCAGAAGCCACTAAGCTGGGCCATAGAGCCAATTCTAGAATCTAGTCCATGGAGGTACATTTGACACATCTTGGCATTGGGCAGGAAGGAGGAGAGGCAGAGTGAAAGGGTGACAGTAAAGGACCCAGCCAGTCTTCGTTGGTCAATGTTGTTCTCCTATGGTTTTCATCACTCTTCAGAGAAAAGAGGCTAAGAATCTTTTAGGGGATCCTGAGGGTTGGTGCTTTCTGCAAAATACCTCTAAAAGGCCTTGTGGCTTCCCAGGCAGAGCCTGAGGTGCAGGAACCTGAGTTCATGCTTTATGGATTTGAGTCTTTTATTCTTTTTGCAGCGTGTACATGCATAGCTCCTCTAGGATTGGCTTTGATTGATAGTTGCCTTTGCAACATTACCATTTCCTCAGGGATCTGATGTCTTCAGAATCGCTGCGCTGGTTTCCATTTGTATTTAGTGGGCCCTCACTGGGTGGTTATGCGCTCTGGACTATGTTTGGAGAATTAATTTGCTTTATGCCTCAAAGTCAATAGGACGCTTTTTGTTTCTGCTCCTTGAAATGGACGTAGAAGCCTTTTTAATAGGGGGTCCTCTCCCTGAGCTGGCAAAAGAGGGCTTTTCTGACTTGGTGATTTTCCTCCTGTGTGTGGATCTGTTGGGGTGGCTGAAAACTAAGCTGCAGTAGGGGAGATAAAAGGGACAGGATAGTGGTGGGAACATGATGCTCCCTGATTTCAGATGGTCACACTGCTCTAGCTGGCTTTTGGGAGAGCCCTAGACTTGGAAGAAAGGGGATGCTGGCAAAAAAGCTTTGATTATCAGCTTTGTCATTCCTAAGCCATATGACCCTAAACACTTGGCTTTTAAATTTCAGAAAACAGTCATGGAATACCTGCATGCCAGGACTATCTTGGACATGTGCATGCTTCTTTTTTTTGAAGTAGCCCTAAGGTGACAGTGAGCATGACGCTCGGAGTTATCAAGGGGCTACTTTGTGCATGGATTGTGCCCAAGCTTTTCGTGTGCTGTTCAGATCGTCATGAAGCCCCATGAGGCAGGTATTAGTGTCTTCACTTTACAAATGACAAAAACAGAGGCTCTGACAGGTTAAGTAATTTGCCCAAGATCTCTTAGCAAGTATGTGAGGTGTAAATCTGAGAGATGTTTTGGTGGTGTGTGTGTGTTTTTTTTTTTTTTTCCTCAAAGCTTGCAATGCTCTGGGTTTCAAGATGTGGAGGGAAAAGCATGAGCTTTGGGGTCACTCATGCAGACTTGGGTAGGTAACTCCCTGCTTTTTGTTTACTAGTTGAGTGATTACCTCCTGAGTCTACATGCCATTCAGAGGTAATACCATCATCTTTGTAGTTGGGGATGGCTTAGAATCAAGTGACATGTGCAAGGTCATCTAATCTAGTAGTTGGTGCAGCCAGGATTGGTACCCACATGGTCTGATGTTAGAATCCACACTCAACACTTCACATCACTCTGGTTCTGGTATATAGGAGCTGTGGCCACAGTAATAACGATGGCCAAATTCTGCTAATAGGAAGTCTTCGCTTCTGGTGATGGATGGAGCAGGCATGGAGATTTTCTTTTCATTTTTCTCTTTCCTTCCTAATAACCTCTACCAGGATTTTCTTGGAAGTAGGAGCTGAAGAAGTGAGAGTCGGGGCTAACTGAACTATTAGGATTTTAGTTGTTTTTTTTTTTTTTTTTGAGGTTGGGTGGGGATGTGGGATAGGTTGAGGCAGGAGGTACGAGAACTCATCAGATAGCTGAGTGGAATATGCTAGAAGCTTTCATGTGTACTGTGGAGGAAGGGGAGTCCCTATGTAGAGTTGGGAAATTTGAGCTCTAATTACAACTTCACTACCAATTCACTGTATGCTCTTTAACTTTTCTAAAATGAGTATTCGGTAAATTAACACATAGGGAGCACTCGGGCCATGTGACTGTCCTCCACATACTCCTGCACAGCTAATATTGTCACCCTGGCTTTAGAGATGGAGAAACAGGATGGATTAAATGGCTCATGGCTCCCCAGCTAGTAAGTGTTACATCCGGGACCAAAAACAGGACTGCAGGATTCAAGGTTTTTCCCCTATAGGATACTTGTGTTTAGAAAAAGATTGTAGTCTAACTCCTTTTCCACCCCATGACAGTTGGGGAAACTGAGGCTTAGAGGTCAAGTGATTTGATCAAGATCCCACAGTGTGAGGAGCCATCTGAGATCAAGGTCATGGGATCTCCAGGTCAAGGTTACCTCCCACCTGGAGCGCAGATGTGATTCCAGGGAGGGAACTGGAAAGACTGATAGGGCATTAGGGATACAGTACTGTGTTTAGAGCCTGATTTCTGGCTCATTGGAAGACTGGGGGGCAAATCAGGAAACCAAGGCAGAAGCCTATGTGCAAGGCTAGACAACCACTTTGGGGTCAGATGCCATGGAAAATTGGGCAACAAGGACAATTGCAGATCTTGTAAGTAGGTGGAGCTCTGCCTACAGATGGGGGAAGGTATGGGCTGCTATGTTCATTGAGTTCTTGGCAGTGTGGTTATTATAATTTGGATTTCTTAAGGCCTAAGACATAGACTTTGGAATCAGAGCAGCCAAATGTGAATGCAGGTGAGTTCTGTGTGTGCAAACTTGGGCAAGTAATTTCCCTTCTCAGAGTCTCAGATTTGTCATTTACAAAATAGGAATGGCGTCATACCTACCCTACGGATTCCTACGGGTTGGTTGGGAATATTGAGGAGTTATCAGTAAATTATCTACTTTAGTGCTCTCAGAATGATGTCTGGCCTGGACCTCTCGCCAGACTCACTTTGTGTATGCATCTGCTTGATCACCATCTCTACTTGTGTGTCTAATTCTAATTCAAATAAAATCTTTCTTGCTTTAACATCTTTTGATTTTACCTCCTGCCCCAATCTGCTCCTCCCAGACTTCTCTATTTTAGAAATAGGCAACTCCACCCACCTAGTTGCTCAGACCTAACAGACTTAGAACAGTTTTCAACTCCTTTCTTGCTCTCACATCCCACATCCAATCTACCAGCGAATCCTGTCAGCTCTGCCTTAAAAATGGACCTGGAATATGACTATACTTCTTACCTCTGTGGTCCAAGCCGCCCCCACCACCACTTGCCTAGATGTCTGCAGTGACCTCCTTACTGTGCTCCTGCTCCCACTCTTGACTCTGTGCATTTGTTTCTCCACTCAGCAGGCTGGAGTGATCCTTTAATAAGTAGGTCAGATCATGTTATTCTGCTCAAAACCCTCTGCTGGCCTCCTGTTCCACTCTGAGTAAGCCCCAAGGTCTTCACAACCACCTGCAGTGTCCCCTGGGCCTGGCCCTGGCACCCAGCACCTTCCTGCCCTTCTGCCTCCTCTTCCATTCTTTTGCCTCTTCTGACTCAGCCATGCTGGCCTCCTTGATGCCACTTAAACTCTCTGATCCCAGTCCCACCTCCAAGCCTTTGTCCCGGCAATTTTCCGGGCCATTTTTTTTTTTCCTTTTTTGAGATGGAGTCTTGTTCTGTCGCCCAGGCTGGAGTGCAGTGGTGCAATCTCGGCTCACTGCAACCTCCACTTCCGGGTTTGAGCAATTCTCCTGCCTCAGCTTCCCAAGTAGCTGGGACTACAGGCATGCGCCACCACACCTAGATAATTTTTGTATTTTTAGTAGAGATGGGATTTCACCATGTTGGTGAGGCTGGTCTCAAACTCCTGACTTCAGGTGATCCATCCTGGCCATTTCATGTTCCCAGGTCTGTGCATAGATGAGCCTCATTGTGGAAGTCTCCCCCAACTACCCTTTCCACAACAGCACTTTCCTCCCCTAGCACTCTGGCCGTCCTTACCGTACTTCGTATTCATAGCCCTTGCCACCATCTGACGTGTTACACATGTGTTTATTTTGCTTATCACTTGTCTCATCTGAATAGGGTCTCATCACCCTGAAGGCTGGTTGGGGCTTTAACTGGTTCACAAACAGCACCTTGTACATGGTGAGCACTCAGTGAACACCTGCTGAATGAACAAATACCTTTCCTTCCCTCTTCCACAATTGAGGCACATTGTTACATTGGGCCACTTCTTGCCTAGTCCTTGAGGGCCAAATGAGAATGTCTCACCCTCCTATCCTCAGTTCCCTTTCAGGAACTACCTTCCACAGACAAAGCCTGGAACTTTCTCATTTTGAACAGGAATACCTGTGCCATGTGCATTGCAAAATAACAACACAAACTAGAAAACAACAAAATTCAGAAAACAGAGAAATTCATAGAAAAGAAAATGAAGATCACCTGGAATTCCACCTCCCAGAAAGAACCACTGTGACAGCCGATGCCCATCTTTCAGGCTTTCCTCTAAGTCACAGATTTCTTCTCGGGAGAGGATTGGGAAGAACATTATACAAATGAGCATATCATTGAGGAAGCTGGTGACAGAATGACAATGACAACCAGCAGTGTTGTCTGATAATGGTGGGACTGGGAATTGGAAGAATGCAGCTTGTGTCAGTAACATTTATTTATTTATTTATTTATTTATTTATTTATTTATTTATTTACTTACTTACTTACTTAATTACTTACTTACTTGCTTACTTACTGAGTCTCACTCTGTTGCCCAGGCTGGAGTGCAGTGGTGCGATCTTGGCTCACTGCAACCTCTGCCTCCCGGGTTCAGGTGATTCTCGTGCCTCAGCCTCCCGAGTAGCTGGGATTACAGGTGCCCACCACCACACCTGGCTAATTTTTGTATTTTTAGTAGAGATGGGGTTTCACCATGTTGGCCAGGCTAGTCTCGGATGCCTGGCCTCAAGTGATCCACCTACCTTAGCCTCCCAAAGTGCTGGGATTACAGGCATGAGCTGCTGCCCCCACCCAGTGACTCTCTTTTATATATGAAAGGAAATCGATTTGTTTCTAACCAGGTAAGCGTCCTACATAAGGGAAGACAATGAAATTTCCTCAGAAAAGTACAAGGAAAATTCATTTTCCCTTATTTTTCAAAGCATCTGCTTGGATAGAGCTGTAAAACCAGAAGAACTGTGTGTTTCATTACAAGCAAATTCACAACTGGTGGGGTGTGGGGCTGGGCCAGGGGGATGACCATTGGTGAAGGACTAACTTACATGTTTCAGAAGCTTTACACATGGTAGTTAACTCATTGCCTTCTCATGGTGATCTTGTGAGGTGGACTTCATGGGTTGCATTTTACAGACAGAGCATGGTGGCTGAGAGAGGTTTTATGGCTTCCCTCGGTATACCCCTTTACAAGTGTGATTTGAACCTAGACTGACTCCAGAGCCTGTATTTGTGACTGTGATGAAACATGCTTCAGAGCAGTCAGAACGGAGGGACAGACGGGCCAACATGGAAGTGCATTTGATGAGGCTGTGGGAGGAGGCTGAGACCTTCCCAGGGAGGACCCCTGCAGGCATTGGCCTCCGCTGCAATAGTCCCTTTCCCATAGCTCCCCACCCTGATCTAGAGTTGCTTGGCTGTGTGGCCAGATAGACTGGGAAAGCCTGGTTTCATCTCTTTGGCTTGGAAGTTTCCTTCCAGACATGTCTAGGGCTGGTGTGATGGAGGTGGGAATGTGGGAGTGGTGCCACCAGTGTGACTGAATGAGGAAAATCTTGAGATGGAAATGATGGGGGAACCAAGCAGACCCCTAGGTCACTCTTTAGCTCAGGGCCTCTTGTGGCAAGTACCACCATGCCGATGGGTCAGAGTTCCAGAAACTGGGATGAGCAGGGGATATTAAATCATCCCTTCCCCTCTTTGAGCTGTGTGCCAACTCCTGGGTATCTGGCCCTGGTGAGGGGGGGAGGGTGGTCTGTTGCACTCATTGAGATCATGCCAGCTGGGCCAGTGGACTGAGGTACAAAATCCTGGTATTCCTGTGTGGGGCTGCCACGAGGCCCCTTTGGAGAGATCTGAGCTATATCCCTGCCCCCTTTGGCTGCCCGAAAGTGTGTGTGTGTGTGTGTGTGTGTGTGTGTGTGTGTGTGTGTGAGAGAGAGAGCATACATGTGTGCAAGTGTGTAAGTGCAGGGTGTGTGTTGTCAGGATATTGTTACACTGCCTAAGGGCAGGAGATGGCTCCTGGCTATTAATACTGCTCAGATGTTAAACTGATACGGGCACTCAGATCTTATCCATAGAGTGAGGAGATGCCTGTGGTGTCATTGTCACTCCTGAATTTTGAAACCTGTCTGGGAAGGAGGCAGAGAGGGACTCAACTCAGGTAGTGGTACAGGGCTTGGGGTGGGGTGCTTATTTATGCTTTAGCTGGATAGGAGATACTGAACTCACCATTGCTCTGCAAAAATAGCCTCTCTCCGTTCTGTTTCTCAGAGAAAAAGAAGACTTCTTGGATTTCATTCAATTCAACAAATCTTTATTGAGTACCTGCTGGGTTCAGACAGTGTAATAGGTGCTGGAGATGGAGTAGGGGTAGCAGTTGTGGGTGACAGCTGGCAGAGTCAAGACATATTTTGGTGATACTCTCTGAGCAGAGTTGATGATGGATTGGATATGAGGATGAGGGAGAGATCAGTGTGAAGAAGGACTCCCTGGGTGTTGATGTGAGGAGCCATCAGACGCTTGGCACCGAAATTCCTCTCCTAGAGAGGGTGGTGTGGCTCCAGAATGCTGGGGCAGACTTCAACGCAAAAACTGCACAAAGAGGGCAGGGGTAGGAGAGGCCCTGGGAGGTGTTAGCCACTGAGCTTGAACCTTCGCATTTTTCTCTTTCTTAAAAGAAGTTACCATTAACCAGTACTTTCAATTTCTTCTCAACCTACCCAACGCCTTCTACCTTCCTGATACCCCACCTCTAATGGAATATGGGGAGAAGAAATTGACTTATTTACAATATTTAGCAAGCTGAGAGAAAGTTTAGAAAGCCTGTTTGGCTTGGGACCCCAGAAGGCAAAGAGGTCCAGGTTCAATTCTGAGATAGTGGATATTATTGTTGCGGACAACTCCTTAAGGTTCTTGGGTAGAGCTTTAAGGCCATGAGAACTGCATGATTCAGTGCAAGCAAATTCATAACTAGGGGGGTTTGGGGCTGGGCCAGTGGATAAACTTTTCTTTCAAACAATTATGGAAGATTAGTGCTAAATTAAACTTTGGAGCTTGTCTCATTTAACCCCTCATTCTGGAAATACTTGAACTGAGGCTCAGAGAGGTTTAGGATTGCATAAAGTCACACAGCAGGTTGGTATGGCTTGGCATCCAGATGCGATTTTGCTTAAATAACTGTAAGTTTGGGTAGGGGAGCCTGGAAAAGCATCACATGAAAGGCTTTTAAAGAGTCAGGGCAGTGTTAGGAAACACAGGCTAGCCAGGGAGTCTGCTGGAGGGTAAGGGCCTATGTCTTACAAACAGAATTGGCTCCTTTTACTAAGAAACTTGAATATCAAGCACAAATGGACTGAAGAGGCCAAAGTTAGGTGTGATTCAAGACCAGCCGGGACAACATGGTGAAACCCCATCTCTACTAAAAATACAAAAATTAGCTGGATGTGGTGGCGCACACCTGTAACTCCAGCTACTCAGGAGGCTGAGGCATGATAATTGCTTGAACCTGGAAGGTGGAAGTTGTAGTGAGCCGAGATTGTGCCACTGCACTCCAGCCTGGGTGACAGAATGAAACTCTGTCTCAAAAAAAAAAAAAAAAAAAAGTTATGTCTGAACTGACCAGAAGACAGAGTTCAGAGTTCAAGGCATCTGGCAGCCCCTGCCCTTGGAAAGCCCTCCTGCCAGGCACTGGACCCATCAATGCATGGTGGCTTGAGGGCTCTGCCTTTCTCTCTCTGTACCTCACCCACCTGTCCTGCTAGACATGGTATCATAGTGCCCATCCTCTGCGGCTGGCTGCTAGGCTAACTCTCCCCCTCTGCATCTGGACTCTGGCCCATAGGCATAGAAAGGGGGCTGTGTCTATACTCCATCTAGTCCAGTGGAGGTAACGCACGCTGGGTTTGGAGCGAGGACATGATGTGCGACCCACATCGGTCCCTTCCATCTGCATGAAAAGGATTTTCTAGATGCAGTGGGCTGAGCACAATCATGAGAAACCACAGATTCATCCCATTGCAGCCTTGCTTTGGCGTTTTGATAGGCAACGTGGTGTTTGAGAGTACAGGACTGCAACATTTTTCTTTGACATTTACCATGGAGGCTCATATCTGGTGCTCCTTATGTCTGCCCAGGAGAGTTGGGAGAAGGTCAGGGCAGTAAGCTCTGGTGAACATCTTGAGGTTAAACTCAACCCATTGCTGGGGAGTCCAAGCTCTGAGAGCCACCTGTGTGAGTCTTTTGATCTCTGATGTGCTACTTCTCTGAGTTCCAGTGAAGCTGTTGCTCAGTGGCTCAGAGTGTGGGCTCCTAGAATGTGTGATCTAGGTGAGGTCATTGCCACCTTGACCCTTTATAGTCAGGGCCTGGCCTGCCGGGCCTGGCTGCATCTGGCAGAAGAAGGGAGGACCCGCTCATCTACCATGGTTGCCTAGGGCCTTGGGAAGAGTGGGAGAGCTACCTATGCTGCGGGTGGGTTAGAAGGAGAAGGGTGGGGTGAGCCAGAATGAGCAGAGGGGCTCCAGAGGCGGATGGCTACGGACAGGTGGCAGTAGTTGCAGAGGAGAGAAGGATGATCCAGCATGCTAGAGTAGATATCTCAGTCTTGGTCCTGGTCAGGCCAGCATTTCAGCCTTGAGCCCTCTCAGGGGCCCAGCCAGCAATCTACGCCCCGGCTGGCGCTGACCCCCTTGGCACTGGTTTGAATGCCATTTGTCTTTGTGTCTAATCTGCAACGTGTGCAGATGCAGAAGTGGCTCAATTGATGACCTGTCTTCTGGAGCACTCAGGGGATCCTGGGAGGCTCTCTTGCTCAGACATTTCAGAGGTGTTAAGAAGCCCTTGGTGGAGATCTGTGTGGGGAGGTTAATTATGACTGTCCCCCGACCCCCCACCCTTTTTTTTCCCTGTCTGGTAACCTTGGCTTAATTTAAGTAAGTTTTAAATTTCAAGCTGAGATAATGTTTAAGAACTGTAGTTCTTGAAAAATTAGCTCTCAGGGAAAGAAAGAAAAATTAACCCGAAGAGGCCAGTATGAACCAGGCACTGTGCTAGGCATTGTTCCTGGTGTCATCCATTTGTTTCTTCACAGTGACCCTGGAGGGTGTTTGTTTGTTTAATTGCTCGATTGTTGGTTTGTTCATTCGTTCGTTCGTTCATTCATTCATTCATTCAATGTTTGTTGAGTGCCTAAGATGTAGCACTCAAGGCACCATGGTGTAGTGAGTACAGGGAAGATCAGGCTTTCTGCTTTCATAGAGCCATGATTCTAGTGAGAGGGGTGATAGACAATAAACACATAACAATTAGATAATTTCAGACAGAAGTGACTGCCAGGAAGGAAATAAAACAAAGTAAAGGGTGGGTGTGTGACTTTAGAGAGGTGCGGGGACAGCCCATCTGGGGAGATGACATCTGAGCTAAGACTTGAGGGATGAGAGAGCGAGAGCAACGGAAGAGCTGAGGAGAGCAACTGCGGGCGTCTTGGGTGGGCGTGAACTAGGCTGGAATGAGAGAGACTGTTTTGTTTGCTCCATTTTCCAGACAAGGAAACTAAAGCATAGAACCCAGCTTGTCCATAATTACCCAGCAAAGTGGAAGAGACCTTTCTCAGTCCAAACCCATGGTTTTTCTACTATAACCTGTTGCTGTCAATAAACTGCTAGCTGGGCTCCATTGTAACCAAGTGCTTTTCCTGCATCATCTTATGTAGTCCTTGTAAACTATCCTCAGACCTATTTTACAGATGAGGTAACTGGGCTTTGGGTCAAGCACCTTATCCATGGTCACACAGCCAGAAATCAGAGAATGTGGGATTCAAACTCGGATCTGTATGACGAACCCGCTGTGGCTTGTCACCACAACATAGGATGATAGATTCGTTTCCCATGGGCCAAGGAATATTTCCTCTCCTTTTAGAGTTGTGGGAGTTTGAGGCTTTTCCCACGTCACCCAGCCAGAAAGTGTGGGTCTCCCACCTCCTGGGCAGGGCTCCTTCATCTCCGAGTACTGCCTTTGTCCATGTCTGGCGGTCATGAGGGACTGTTTGGCCATGCCAGCACCACTCAAGGGCCTATTTGCCAATGTTTGGCCATAGAGGGCAAATTCTCAATCTTAGACAAGGGCTCCTTAAAAGGTAAATTATCAGAAAATAGACACTGAGCACCTGTTATAGGTTAGGAATTATGCTAAGCATTGGGAAAGAAAATAATGAGGTGAGTTTGGTTTATCTTGGTGATGAAAAGTATAATCTCCAAGGGTACCAGAAACACTTGACCCCACTGCCCTTCTTGTGCTGGGTAGAAAAGACCAGCTGCGGTCTCTGCGCCCTAAAGGATCTCACAGGCTAGGTGGCAACAGAGAGCAACACATATGACTGTAGTATGGTGTAGCAAATCTCATTCCTTTATCATTTTAAAAATCACTCTCTATTGAGCTTCTCTGCAGGGAAGGTGCTGCAGTAGGTGCAGGAGATACAGTGGTTCAGAGGGCAGACAAGGTCCTGTCTTTATGAAGCTCACATTTGGGGGAAATGAAAATATAAATACAAATAGGGATGAAGATATAAAGGAGAGGTATATGGCGCTATTAGAACCTAATGGGAGGTCCATCTTAGTTACACGGGAGAAGGCTTCCTTACAGATGTGCTTTGACCTGACGGATGAATTGGAAGCCTGCGATCAAGACAGCCCTAGGTTATTGGGGGAGCACCAACAAAGGCACCTAGCTCAAGCTGGGAATATAGGTTAGGCTTCCTCCAGATGGAGAAGTCAAAGTCTACTGGTGAGAGGATGGCTTGGGTTTGGAGCTGGAGGATGTTATGACCAGTGGGAGCCATGTGTCATTTGGGTACCATTCCTGCTTGCTCTCTTTAGGAGACCCTCCTGCTCCACAAACTGGAGCTGCGGAAGTGTGGCAGTTTGCTTGTATCTTCTGTTCTCCACCTCTTTCCTTTGAGCTCTGCCCGTGGCTCTGTGAATACCAACGCCAGCATATAAATTATCCAGCAGGCCTCAGCCCTCGCCCAACCAGACTCTTCGCTCAGTGGCGTGCATGCATAATCAATACAGGAGGCTGTCACTGCTTTTAGCTGGGGTGCTAGAAAAGAACTTCGGCTTTCAGAGCTTGGCTGCATGCCAGCATTTACTCCCCACGCCTCCCTCCTTCTTGCTTCTCTGGCTTTCTCCCAGTTCTGTAAGGCTGCATGGCAAAAGGTTGCAGGTGGGCCATGGCTCCTGTGACTGACCCCAAACCCTCCTGTGCAGCAATTGGGGAGGTTCTTGGTTATGCCGTGGCTCAACCCAGAGAACTCTTAGGCAACCGGCAGGCTGGGCCTCTCATGCTGCTTTCCTCTTGCTGATCTTGGCACTGCCAGAACTTCTGACCATGTCTAAAGTACCCAAGTCTTGGTAAACAGGCTGGCAAGAGTGGGTATAAGCTCCCTTGCTTCCTTCCTGGTGGAGCAGTATTGGGTGGGACATTCTTAGCTCCCCACATCTTGATGGAAGGAGCTGGGTTGACCCTGACATGCCCCTCCATGGGGTATTCATGACCAAGTATTACTCCTTGGAGACATTACTGGGGTCATTTTCTTCCAGCTTCCTTCTCCTCTCCTGCTCAGATCAGGGAGGAGAGGGGATGGCTTCTAAAACACCTCCAGTCCATGGGGGATGTAGCTGTCTCCTGACACCTTCTACTTTATCCTTTTCTGTTGTCCATTCCAGAACCTTGATTGAGTCCTGCCTGTATATAAAGCAATATGAAGCATGGCACATGGTTCCCTACCCAGAGGCAGGAATCATTTGAAAATGTTTTCAGTCAAGAGATAAATATGATTCCGAAGGGATCTTTGCCCATCTTGGAAAGATACGACCAGGCCCTGCTCTCCACACTCATCCTGCGGCCACTGCCCTGTTGGTCACTGTATTGGCACAGCTCTGGGTGGGGAAATGCTCTGCTGGGATGGTTTCTATCTGGCACATGAGTTTGATTTTCTTTTTCTGTTCTCCTCCCTGCTCAGCCACAACCTCTTCTGAGAGAAGCTGCTCTTCGCATCATTCCGGATGAGTGAGCAGCTGCTTTGCTTTGTACCATGTCACCTTCCCCTGCCCTCCTCCAACCCCGTAATAGCCATGGCTTATTATGGCAGAGGTGAGCACACAGAACTGCCCAGCCACATCCTGGCTTGCAATTGAGAGCTTAAAAAAAGATGAGTCAGGTTGATTGTTCTGCTCCCTCAGGAGTTTAGAGTTGGAAAATTGAGCTGCTAGTGGGGATTCTTAAGCTCAAAGATCATGGAAAGGACTTAGTCTGAGTTGAAGTTAGGAGATGGTGACCCTCAGAGAGGGGAGGATGGTGCATGCTGCGAAAGCAAAGTGGCAGTATCATAAAGGAAAGGAAAGAGAAAAGAGGGTGCAGCCAACTCCTCTGCTAATGACTTATTGTCCTAGCCTGTCCCATTCCTTATATATGCACAACAATCTCTTATCCTAACTGTAGCTGGAGGGGACCTTTGCTTCTTGCAAATAAAAAGTTTATTAATAGTTCAAGTCTTCTTTGAGGTGTCCAGCACTTAGATGACACCAATGGAACAGAATTTTCTCAAATGAATGGGCTGAGAGTAAGATTTTGAGTTGTGTTTCCTTCCAGAGAGCATTCAGTCAAACCTCAGATGTTCTTTTCCTATAGCTTGAGAAAAATTCCTGAAAGATTCCTTAGCTTGGTTCATGGCTGGCAGATTCCTGTGAGGGCCAGCTAATGGGCATGTCTTGGTTATATGGTGGCAGAGAAAAAAACCTCTGACCAGTTTCTGGCTGAGGAACAGGGCTCCTGGCTCCAAGGAACATTCTAGTGATGGCAGAAATGCGAAAAGTGTTGAGATCAGCAGAGGCACATTGTCAGAGCTGCATTGTGGCTTAAAATGGACTTTGATGAGAGGCCAAGAGTAGATATCTAGAAAACATCAGGAGAGGCCTCTACTAAGGGAAGCAAGTGCAGCAGCCAGAGGGCAGTTGAGAATCTTGGCCAGAGCTGTTGGAGGTTGGATAAGGAGAAAGTGGGCACCCAGGATGTTCACTAAGGTGGTCCAGCCAGTTTGTCTGCAGAGGCCCATTTAGAATCTGAGACACCCCTCCCCCCCCACACCCAACACACAGCCTTAGACACATGGCACTTTGAACTAGGTGTAGGGCATTCTGGTTTTTCTTGAAAGTAGCAATAATAAGAGCCTCTAACATTTATTATGCACTTACTATGTGCTGGGTGCTCTGCCAAGTATTACATACACATCTGTATATTTTTTTATTCCTGTGAACAGATCTGTAAGGTAGGTATCATATTTCTCCATATTACAGATAAGGAAACTGGTGTTTTGAAAGCTTAACTGACTGTCCCAGGGCCACACAACTAGCTCCAGGTGAACAGGCATAATGTGGTTCCTGGCTTCTCTGACCCCATGCCAAGCTCTCAATGAACCCACTCTGCTATTTGATTGGTTAATGTGCACTGGGCCTGGAACCTCAATTGGGGTTTGTTTCCTGGCTCTATCTGTGCCCCAGTGAACAAACCAGTCTCCCAGGAGGTTTGATGAGCCCTGAAGGCTGTTGTGTTGGAAGACACCTGCTGATGCGAGCAGCTGCCTTGGCCTTTTCTGAGGTGGAAGCATTCCAACCTGCCGTGAGCCAGGGAGGAACTCCATACATTATGTAGGAGTGGCTCTCCCCCTGCAGTGGATATTGTAGACTTTTGTACCTGCAGCAGGCGAGTGTCAGCTGCTTTGGAAATGAAGCATAGCCCTGGAAGAGGGGAATGAATGGAGAAGACCAAGGGTAAGTGCTGCTTTAGGGTCCCTCTCACCAGATTGTGACAGCTCCTGGCATTCAACAATCTCTGGCAAAGCTGGGGCAATGGGGTGCATCTCAGGAATAGTTTACTGTCAGAGTAGTGGTTGGAAAGTCCTTGCTGGTTCATCTGCTTTGTCTGGTTTGGGGGAACTTGGTACAGCACAGTGGCAGGCGATCTTGGGAAGGAGGCCAACCCAAATCTTCAACCATCTGTTAATGGGGTAATAGGTTATGTTGTAGCATGAGTGAGTTGTCTTAATTGGGCAGAAACTTCAGATATGGTTGCCGATGCGGAAGGAGACTGAGCAACTGTGCATCGGTTGTGAATGTGCAACTTGGGGGATGGGGTTCATGGAAATGGATGTCAGTCTTACTGAAACTCCAGTGCATGGTTCTCAAGGTCACCTGGGGTCCCAGAGTCTTCTGGGAACTTGTGTGAAATGCACATTCTCAGGCCCCACCCCAGACTTCCTGAATCTGACACTCTAGGGGTGGGACCCAGCAAGTTGTGTTTTTAGAAGCCTTTCAGGTGATTCTGATGCACATGGTTGAAAACCATAGCTGTAGAGTATGCTGGGGTAAGTGATGGTATGGTGTCCTAGACAGATCTTGCAGCTCTCAGGATGAGAAGAGAAAATCCTGAACTGACTTGATATTATGTAATTATTATATAATTAAAAGTGTGCTTAATACATCCTTTATGGATTAAATCAGATTAATCACAATGGTTCTCCAATATCTCAGGCAAAATTCCTGGGTCTAGCTACTCCCCTCATCCTTGTCATGCAAAGAACCTTCCCCAGACTTCAGTGGGAGATCTATTGTTTGATCATGGGGTTTGGCAGGCACTTCGTTAAGGTGGTGTGATATAATTTTCTGGACCTAGGTTCTGGCCCTACTGTGTATCAGTCTCTTGAGCTATGGGGGGCCTCTCCCTGGTTCCAGGGCTCAGCTTCTTCATCCGTGAAATGAGGCTGGATTTGGAGCTCTTGAAGGTCCCTCCTCGGGGTGACACTCCATGGTTCTCAGAGATGTCCCAAGGAAAGGCCATGGTTACATCATGCTGGAAGCAGAAGTGTTGACACTGCCATATTTTCAACATTAATATTGGAAGTGACAGCCTGCTGACCATCTGGAAGAATCTCTCAGGGCACTGAAGACTCTGGACCCTGATTTCAGAACTGCATTTTAGGACAGGTGCCTCATTAATAGGAATGACTTCTTCCTCGAGATCGTAGCCAAAACAGGCTCCCTGACTTTGTACAGCCTAAATTCTCCACACTGTCAAGCTGTTTGAACTCTGTGGTCAATCTCTACAAAAGGGCAGGCCCCTAACCCCATGTCTTCTCCATCTGGCCGCTCTGGGGCTTACAGATCTGATGGCTTCTGCTGGGCAACTTTGATGGAAATGCATGTCCAGATCTCGAGCTGGTGCAGAAAAGGTGGTGAGAGGCACCCAGCCTGCTCACGTTCTGTCCTTCCTTGGCCGTAGACACTGTTCAGGCATGGGGGCAGTGGTGAAGGAGCAAGAAGCTGGGAGTTGGAGCAGGGGGAGCCTGCATCGAGGACTGGTTGTACTCCCTTGGCTTGCATGGGACTTCTACGTCAGAGTGAGAGAACACGCACAAATCTGCTGCAATTGACCTTTTAAGTCAACCCGTTGCATATGTTTGCTACACGAAGGAGCTGCTGACAAGTCTCGGGCTGGAGACAGAAGGTGGAGAAGAAAGGAGAAATCTCACCACCACGGGCTGGTGAGACAGAGCAGTGGGCAGAGACAGAGCTGTGGTGATGCTGTCAGCCGCTCCGACATGCTGTTCTTCCATCTTCTCCGATGACGCGCGTCTGAAGTGTGACTCGGAGGCCGCAGGAGGAAAGTGCGATGAGCCTGCACCATTCAAAGCCTCTCTCTGAGCAAGGTCGCCAGGGCGGAAATTGGCTACAGCGACCAAGGCCATTGAATCTAAGGTCCATTTCTGGCTAGGGCTTCAACCAAGGGAAGAATGGGTGGCTGGTTCAGGTGCAGCCCAGAATGAAAGCAGTGGGGAGGGAGAAACTCCCATAGCTGCCATGGGTGAGCTGCCATGGGTGAGCTGCCATGGGTGAGCCGCGGCATGCCTTCCAGGATGAGAGAGCCAAGTGCCATCCTGGGTGAAGTAGGAGGGGGAAACGAAAGGCTGGGTCATTTGAGACAAGCATGCCTCCATTACCCTGCCTGAAAACGAAGGGAACACCTGTTCTTGTCTGCAGTCAGAGAGGATTTGACAGAATTTTTAAAGTAAAAAGTGAAATGAAATTTAGATCAGCCTCTGCAAAAGGACTTTGTGGATTTCCTGTCGGTTAAAGATGTGGCAGCATTATTGTTCCTGTTTCTGGAGATGTCAAGAGTAAAATGGTGTGACGTTTGTCAAGTGCTTGGACTTACTATAACCAGACATGCTGCCGGGGGCCTTCCCTGAAGGTCACCTGTCAGGGCTGTAAAGTCAGGGGATGTGGGGATGGGAGGAGGTCAGCTAGGTCACCTGAAAGTCCCTCCTAGGTCTGTGAAAAATCTGTTAGATGGAAAAATAAATGGCAGGGATGGGCTTTCTGTTTCTATGTGTGTTGGCCAGGTGGGCTAAACAGATCTCTCATATCAAGGCCAACCCCTCACTGACACCCTGCGAGGGAAAACTTGGTTGCTGTGGGTGGGGACAGTGTCCCTGCCAACTGTTAAGAGTCCCTGCCCTTTTCCAGGGACAAGGGCAAGACAGGAAAAGGGGACCAATTTCCGAGTACTGTGTGCTAGACTCAGGTTTGTGATGTATATTATTTTAGTTTTATAATCCTAACCCAATGCCATAGGTAGAATTAGCATTTTCTGTATTACATATGAGGACACAGAGGGGCAGAGCCATTAGAACACTAGAATAAAGCAACACAGCTAGCCAGCAAGTAGAGATAGACATCTAGGACCACAGCCTGGTCGGGGCTACCATCCCCCTCTACTTCTCTGGCTGGGGATGGGGCTTGTTGGCTCTTTCAATACATGGGCATGTCAAGGCTCATATCTGAGTCCCCATGCCTTTCTCTTTACACATGAGATGTTTCCTCTTACACTTATGTCCATAGAGAGGGCTTTCCCCTGGGAATGTGCCCTGGGGGCCTGAGGCTGTGAGTTACTGTGCAGATGTGAAGTACCAGGTGTGCTGAAGGCAGATTGGTTTGTGAGAGGGGGCAACTCCTTTGTTTCACCCCCAACCCCCATGTGAGATGAGGCTTCCTGGGGCCCAGGGGCAATATTACTAATAATTACTCATTGTTGGCATTTTGGAGCTAGGTAAAGCATTCTCCCATTGCTACTGTTTCAGGGTTAGACATCAGTGACGAGTAGCCTGGGATATGGCACTGGCTCCCAGGTATGATGTATTTCTTTGATCCTAGTCTTTTTCAGCTGCTCGGCTCAGTTTCAAAACTGGGTGGGAAATGTCACAGGCTCATTTTCTTGTTGTTTTTCTTCTGTCCCCTGAGGGGTATGGCCACATGCAGAGAGGTGGAAAGGAGGGACAGGAAATGGGACCAATCCACCTGTGTTCGGAAACCTCAGTTAGTGTTGCTTTATTTCCTTCACCAATCTGATAAGGTTTTCCGTTACCACTATTAATACATAGTACTTTATGTGATACAAATGATAAACACTAATACTGAAAACTTTAAAAAGTCAGAAAAGCACAGAGACAGAAGCAAAAAAATCACTATTTTCCTACCACATACCATTGTTGACTTTTTGGTGTAGATCCTTCCAGGTGTGTGTGTGTGTGTGTGTGTGTGTGTGTGTGTGGTTTGTGTGTGTGTGTGGTTTGTGTGTGTGTGTGGTTTGTGTGTCTGTATTAGATTGTATACACTTCTTTTTTTATTTGTTTACAGAAACACACTGTGTTGTCTGATTTTTTTTTCCTGATTTTAGTGTTATAATGTGAGCTTGTTACTGTGCCAGTAGGTATTCTTTAACCTTTTATTGAAAGGGTTGTAAAGGTATAAAGTACTCCATTACAGAGATGTAACAATTTACTTTATTCCTTATTGTTGGATATTTAAATTCTACATTTTCTATATTTAAAAATAATATTGTTCCTCCCGCTAAAGTTTATGCCATATTACCATCCCACCTGCAGAGTATAAGAATTAACATTTTCCAGCCCCTTTATAATGTATTTTTGCTAAGCCTGGCCTATTAGATAGGCCTAAAAAAGTGACATTTTTTTTTTTGTTTTAACCTTGGCCAGTTCTAAGAAAGAGCACGAGCATGTATGAATGGGTTCTTCAGTGGTGTGAGGAAAAAATATGTTTGCCACCTTGGTTTGTTTTTCTTTATTTGCCTCTTGGTTTTTCCTTTGTCAGCGTAATGCAGAAACACTAGATCTCCACCCTAAGAAAAAAGGTATATAAAAATATATTTAGGGATATTTCTCACAGTTTTATTTATAATGTTACTGTGAGAAAAGTTTTAAAAAGTTGAAATATCTTAAGTTCTTTGGATGGGGAATTACTTAAATTAATGGTGGTAATGAAATATTATGCTATCATCAAAATAACTTAATGGTGTAGGGAAAAATCAAGCTATAAACTATGTATATTATGATCTAAATTAAATAATATGTGCATAGAAAAAAGACTACAAAGGTTAATGTTAATCATTTCTAAGTGGCATAATTGTGCTTTTTCTCTTGTATTTTCAAAAATTTCTAGCAGGCACATGTATTATTATTGTAATCCTACACAAAACAAATGTTAGCATAAATTCTAAAATATCATACATGGCAATAAAGAGCCGTAAGTAACTGGGTTTTGGGTCACTTGGATTCTACTGAGGACTTTGTAGGTGATGGAGCCTTTTCACGTTCTTTGAGGTTTGTGGAGTTCTTTGGAAGTTTTCAGGACCATTTCATAGGAGGGGCTTCTAGGAGACCAGAGTCAAAGTGCGGAGACCAAGAGTAGCTTTCTATCTGACCTTCTGCCCTTTGTGTTGATGGGGGCACAGGTAGTGCAGGAGAAATCTATTTAGGTGCCCGCTGCCCCAGCCCACAGGGCACGCTGAACATGCCACCCAAGGTACCAGTGGATCTCAGGATCACTGCAGTTGGTGTTTGGAGACTGAAGGGCTGGGGATGCCAGAGGGTTAATGTCTAAATATCATTGCGAGGACTGATTGGATGTGTTTAAGTATTTCTGACAATGACAAGCATAATGGGGACAGAATTCTGTGCCAATCCCTTTACCTACTGATGAGGAAATGGAGGTCTGGGGGGGATTAAGTCACTTGCCCATGCAAGCATCTTTATTTTTCTTTCCCAACCCAGAGTACCACTGGCATGGTGCAATGTGTCATGTGTTGGGTCTTTTCAGATTGGCTGAGACGATGCACGGCACACTTGGATGTTGTTGAAGTACTTACACTTTGCTTGGGTAGAGTTTGCATGAAAGAGCATTATTTAACTCTTTGAGTAGTAGGATTGGGCTTCCTGGAGGAATTGAGGTGAAAGATCAAAAAGTTGATTGTGGCTTGGCTTAGGCCAAGAGGGTAAAGAGGAGTATTCCAGGTAGAGGGAACAGTCTGTGCAGAGGTGGAGGGACAGCAGGGTGCATTAGAGACAAAGATTGCTGAGGGAAGAGCCAGCTGCAGGATGAGAGGGATGCATCTAAAGAGGTGGCAGACAGCTGGGAAAGGGCCTTGCCTGCCAGGCCAGAGTTTGGACTCCATGTTGAGAGCCACCAAGAGTCACTGAAGAGCTCTAAGGAAAGGAGTTGTGTGCTCGAACTGAAATTATGCCAAGATCACTTTGGCTCCAGTGTGGGAATGGGTGAGAGAGGACCAGGGCTGAATGCAAGGAGATAAGTGAGGAGTCTAGGTCAACAATTCAGGTAAGAGATGGTGATGGAGTTAAGTGGCAGTGAGGATAGAAAGGGGTAGGCAGGCAGAAGGGAAGAGTTTGTATTGAGCAATTGGGAGGTTGTGGGTGCCATTTGATGAGGCCAAGAAACCAGATCACAAAGCAAATGTGGAGGCTGCTGGGAGGTTGATGAATCCAGGTTGGGGCATATTGTGTTTGCGGTACCTGTGGGGCACAAAAGTGGAGATGCCCTGTCTTTTTGTTTTGTAAAGTACCCAGTAGAGGCTCACTTTTTTCCTCTGACACCATGGAGGAGTTTCTCTATGTACAATGAGACTTGTCTTCCAAAACCTTTTCATGACTGCTTTTCCCAGGTGCTCACACCATTCCTGTGAAGTGGACTAGGGGAGCTTTTCTCAATGCAGAGTGTTCAGACACAGTATCCCATGAAATGGTGTTCGTGTTTTCTTGGAATACAGCCATGCAGGGGGTTTCCACACTGTGTTTGGATCACTCATACCCCAGAAATGGCAGGTTTCTCCTCCTCTAGTCTGCCCAGAGGAGGGGGACCTGAGTGGGGAAGAAACTCTCTCTTGTGCCCTGAGAAGAATGCTTCTCTCTCTGTAAATAAAGAGGAACAAAGGCCCAGAGAGCCCAAGAGAGGAAAAAAAAGAGTGAAAGGCTGAGATGAGATTGCTCCCATTGCTTAACTAGTGGCCTCCTTGGTTGGTAGGGCAGCTGGCAGGACTACCGCCTGCACTCCTTCCCTGGAGTTACTGTCCTGAATGTTCTCAGGGTGGTTACACAGACCCATCTTGAGGTCACTTCATGGTCCCGTTTCATAACTGGCAGGGATGTTGGAGATTATGGAGTCCAAACTGTGGCTCAAAGTGGGTGGTGAGCAACTTGTCCAAGGTTACACAGTGAGTTGGCCTCCAGGCTTCTTTTCCTGTTTTGCCACATCGGACATTCTTTTTTTTTTGTTTGTTTTTTGAGATGGAGTCTTGCTCTGTTGCCCAGGCTGGAGTGCAGTGGTGAGATCTTGGCTCACTGCAACTTCTGCCTCCCGGGTTCAAGCAATTCTCCTGCCTCAGCCTCCTGAGCACCTGCGATTACAGGTGTGCACCACCATGCCTGGCTAATTTTTGTGTTTTTAGTAGAGAAGGGGTTTCACCATGTTGGCCAGGCTGGTCTCGAACTCCTGACCTCAAGTGATCAGCCCATCTTGGCCTCCCAAAGTGCTGGGATTACAGGTGTGAACCACCGCGCCCGGCCTCCCCACATTGGACTTTCTAAGGAATATTACCTAGCCACAGATCTACAGGGTGTGTTTGTTTCTTAAAGCCTGTGAAAACCCACCCCTTCTTTTTGGTTTGTTTCTTTTATACGACCCTTAAATGTCTTTCTCCAGAGCCCTGCCACCCACCTTCTTCCTGCGCACTCTACCTTTTCTCTCTGTGATATCTTTTCTAATCCTATGCTTTTCACTACTGTTCAAGGGTGGATGACTCCCCAGTTGATACCTCTAGCCTTGAACTCTCTCAGACACCTTATATTACCGGGCTTCTGGTCCTCTCCACCCACAGGCACATCAGGATTGACAGCTGCAAAACCAACAGTGTTGGCTTCAGAGCTACACAGGCAACTCCTACTTGTTCTTACAATATTGAATCCATAGTAAGTTGAGAATTAGACTTAACACACCCAAGTCTGCGTGTCATCATTTCCTGCGTATCTGAGTGGGTAGCATCTCCATCTATCCAGGAATCTGAGCTGGAAAGGTGGAAGCCAATTTCAATATCCCTCTTTCCCCACCACGTTAGTCATCACGCCCTTTTGGTTCTTCTTTTAAAATATCTTTGAACTCCACTTGTTCCTCTGTGTCTTTCTTGCCAATGGGCCATTATCAGCTTTCAACAGAACACTTTGGTGCCTTCTTGGGGGGTCTTCCTACCACCCATTCTTTTTTTCTTCCATTTTCTTTTTTCCTGACGTATGGTGGTAGAAATCTTAAGGAAATAAAACTAAGCACAGCATTCCTTGTGTGAAATACTGCCTTGCCTGTAAAATCTCATTAATGTAGCCTAGGCAGTGGCTAATAGCCTGGACTCTGGAGTCAGACTGCCTAGGTTTAAATTTCTTCTACTTGCTGAGTTAGCATAGGTGGGTTATATAATCTGTCTGTTCTTCAATTTTCTCACGTATAAAATGGGCGATAATATTAATACATAATTTGTAGGGTGTTAGAAGGATTCAATGAGTTAATATTTGTGATATGCTTAAAAAAGTGCTTAGCACATAGTAAGTACTACTTATGTAGCATTTACTACGTGCTTTGTTAGTGTGTGCCTTATTAAATAAAATAAATATATATCCTTAGCTTGACCTAGAGGCCTTTCAAAACTGGACACTGTTGACCTCTCCAAGCTCAAGTTCTCTATCCTCCTGCCCTTGACACTGTGCCTGCAATAAAACTCAACAGTTTGTCATTGTTCAGTACCATTGTGCTTTTCCTTGTGTTTCCTTTTGTCCCTGGATTCTTCTTCTTCACTCTTCCTTCCCACCTCTCCTCCCCCTTATAATCCTTCAAATCAGTTATTCATCTTTTAAAATTCAGATCAAATGCCTCCTCTCTGAGGCCATCCCTATACCAGTGGACACAGATAACACTTCTTTCCCTGAGCTACTTCTGTGCCCATGTGTGTTTTATTAGAGTGACGAGGCTGGAGCCTCTGGAGTGGGACAGACATAATTCTAATTCTGATTTGACCACCTCCAAGCTCTGTGACTCTGGGCAAGTTACTTAACCTCTCTGAGCCTCATCTGTAAGATAGGAGTAGGTTACCTACTTGATGAGGCTATGTGAGGATTATATGGCCGTGTGTGTACTGAGTGCCGGGTCCAACTCTCAGCACATGGTAAGCTCACAGCAAGTACTGTATTGTTATGATTTCCACTAATACAGCCATTATGTGCTATTTAATTTGTAGTTCGCGTATGTGTCCCCATGACGGTTGGGGCCCTGTTTTACTAAGCTTTATAATCCCAGTATCTCCTGTAGTAGATGATCACTAATATTGACAGTTAACTGAACTTCTGGGCCTCAACACTCATCATCCCACTTGAGATAAAATCAGTGTCTTGGCCACACAGACCTCCCAAGCCTTGTCCCCAGCAGGTTGGTTTTGTTTTCTTGAAGCTTGTCTGAAGGAGATAAGTCTGCACCTGGGAGGTGACAAGATGTTCTAAACCAAGCAGGTGGTGTGCAGCAAGGTGTGAAGGCTTGCTTGGGAGATGTGGCTGGAGGTGTGAGGGGGGCCTGAGACCTTGGTGGGCAGGACTGTGCCAGCTGTGGGAAGAAGAGGCAGGTGAAACAGGAAGAGCATGGAGAACCTGAGGTAAAGGAGAGGGCAGCCAGGGGTGGAGGATTGCGGAGCAGGGCTGAAGGAGAACACAGAGGCTGGACAGGTCTGCTCTCAGGGCCGGTGCGATTACCTCGTCCATCTTCCTATCTGCTCATGTGCTATATTAGTCTGTTCTCACACTGCTATAAAGACATGTCTGAGAACAGGTAATTTATAAAGAAAAGAATTTTAATTGACTTACAGTTCGGCATGGCTGGGCAGGCCTCAGAAAACTTACAATCATGGCAGAAGGGGAAGAGGCACATTTTACATGGCATCAGGTAAGAGAGAGCTAGCAAGAGCAGGGAAAACTGCCTTATAAGCCCATCAGATCTCATGAGAACTCACTACCACGAGAACAGCATAGGGGAGCCACCCTCATGATCCAGTCACCTCCCACCTGGTCCCTCCCTCAACATGTGGAGATTATGGGGATTATAATTTGAGATGTGATTTGGGTGAGGACACACAGCCAAACCATATCATGTACCTTGCTGAGAAGTGGACTTTCCCTGAACCCTTTGTTTTAAATTGCAGTCCTCTCCCTCAGCACTCTTAATTCCTTCTTATCTACTTTATTATTTTTTCCTGAGTACTTGTCACCATTGGGCATACTATTTGTTATATTTATGTGTTTGTTTATTATCTGTCTCTCTCCACTAGAATTTAAGAGCCACAAAGGCAAGTATTTTAATCTGTTTACACTGATGTGTCACCAGCACCTAGAACATTGCCTGACACATAATAAGTGCTTAATAAATATTTATTGAATGAATGAATCCCACCACACAAGGATCACTGCCTGTCTTAGTCCGTTCAGGCTGCTATAGGAAAATAGCTTTGACTGGGTAATTTAGAAATGACAGACATTTTTTACTCATGGTTCTGGCGAGTGGGAAATCCAGGATCAAGTTGCCAGCAGATTCAGTGTCTGGTGAGGGCCAGTTCTTCTAGGTGGTGTCTTCAATGTGTGCTCACATGGCAGAAGGGCCAGAAGGGATAAATAAGCTTCCTCTGGCCTCTGCTGTAAGGGCACTAATCCCATTCATGAAGGCTCCACCCTCGTGACCCAATCACCTCCCAAAGGCTCCACCTCTTATTATCACACTGGGGATGATTTCAACATATAAACTTAGGTGGGGGAATGTGAGCATTCAGGCCATAACACTGCCATTTATATTTTTGTGTTCATTCATTTAGTAAGTAGGTTTCCAAAAATTTGTTTGAGGTGTAAGCCATGTACAATAAAGTACCTCAATTTTCTAAGTGTACAATTTGAGTACTGGCAAATGTATACACCTGTGTAACAAACACCGTAGTCAAGATAGAGAACATTTCCATCACCCCCAAAAAGTTTTTCTGTGCCTCTTGGTGGTCAGTTGCTGTCCCCACCCCTGGCCCCAGGCAACCACGATGTAGTTTTTGTCATTATTTATGGACTTTTCTGTTTCCAGAATTTTATGTAATGGACTTATGTCTTGTTTTGCTCAGCATAACATTTTAAAGATTTATCTATGTTGCAAGCAGCCGTGGTAAATCTGATTTTATTGTCGAGCAAATCGTTTTTTTAATTTGCTTTGTGGTGTTTTGTGACCACCAGGGAGCATGTGCTGTAGATCCAGGCTGCCTGGTTAGAGTTTTGGCTTCACCACTCACCAGCTGTGTGGCTTTGGGCAGTTTTATTCTCCCAGTGCCTCCAGCCTCTCATCTGTTAAATGGGGTAATGATCATACCTACCTTATAGTATTCCAGAGAGAAGAATTAAATGAATTAGACACATAAAGTGCTTAGAGTGGTGCCTGGCACATAGTGAGTATTCAAAAATTGTTAGCTGTTATTACTTCCATTTTGCAAATGAAGAGAAAAACTCCTGAGGCACAGAAAAGTTGTTTGTTCAGTGTTATTTGGATTGTAGGAAGAATTAGAATTGAGATCTGTCTGATTTCACTCTTTGTCCTGTCACCTCCTAGAGTCTGGTCTTTCTCTTTTGGGCTAGGCTCTTGTGGGTGGCACACACAGAAGGGGGATGAAGGGAAAAAGCAGGTACTCAGCTTGGGGGATGTCTGAATCCTACCTCAGTGTTCACTTAGTTTTTCTCCACCGTTTCACCCTCCCCACCACTGTGGGTAGAGTTTCACCCCCTCCTCTGGTCTGCCAAGGGAGTGGAGTTGGGCCTTCTTGCCCTTTGCTCCCCTCCTGGGCCCTCTCAGGCAGCTGAGCCTTGCATCAGGAACACCTCTTGCAATCACACAGCATCAGCCCTGTGAGAAGCTAATTTGATAAACCCCACTCCAAAGCTCATTGAACCTGTCTATAACGATGCTTAATTAAAGTGCAGAAACTTTGAAGAGATAGCAAGTTACTGCTTAATGCAATACCAGAGTGCCACTATTCTAACGTCTGCCTCTTTCTCTGCAGTAATTGCTTCCTGACATTTGTTTATTTTAATTAGGAGAGCAGTCTTGATCAAGAGGGAGGGCAGACAGGGTCAGAACTGTTAGGGAGGAGGAAGAAAGTGGAAAAGGGGGGCTATGCTGTTGTAGGGGTGGCCCGAAGGGGAATCACTGTTGTCTTCATGGTATAAGTGGTTTTATCTTTCCATAGGGATGGAACTGTAGAACTTCCTCCCTACAGTGAAAGCATAAGGCTGACTCTGGGATCATATGCTTAGGGTCTGGGGGTGTCCTTTAGAAAGTATGGGAGCTTCTTGGCTAGCAAATGGAGCCTCCTACTTTGTTAGAAGGGAAAGTATAGATGGAGCTGGCAGATCTCAGAGTGGTGTTCTGAGCACAACTAACTAGATTACTGTGACTCAGTGGAGACACTTCTAGTACCAATAGGGTCTCAGAGCTGAGAGAGAGAGATGGTCATTCATATCTGTTAGTTCTAATGGTTCTCACTGGTGGTTTCACAGTGTGTCTGGTTATCTTTGATTGCATGTTGGTCATTGTACATGAAAATGATTTATAAGTATAACTTAAGCCTGAGATGATGAAGGTGCCTTCCTCTACAGAACAATTTTATTTTATTTTTCTGGCAGACACTTGAGGGCACTATAAATCTTGCCCCCACCCTTAAATGAAATTAATGGCTTGAGGCTTCCTCAAAAACAAGTGATTCAAACCCAGTCTGTAGATTCTCTTGAGGACTAGTCAATTTCTGATTTATCCTCACCCTTAGGGGCCCAGCTTATTGTGAGGAGGGTCTACTTTTGGTCTCCCCATTTCATGTGGGTTCTGGTTGTGGATTTTTTTCTCTCTTGCCCTGCCAGGCTGTCAAAATAAAGATCAAATTTGCCAGACTCACAAGATGTCTTCAGGGCAAAAGTGATTTTCATACTTGTCTGGATTCCTGTTTCCTTTCACTTTTAGACTAGTCTTTCCTTACTATCTGATCAGCATTTTGGTGATTTTAAGAAGATACACTGTGCTTTTTAATCCAGATCTTTAGTTGTTTTTAATGGTAATAGCCTGCCATTACCAGAAAGAAAAAGTCCCCTGGTAGCAGTTTTTCAATTAGATATATTTTTACTTTTGGTAGTGGAACTTTTTTTTGGTCAAATGAAATCTTACATAGAATCTCAATACCAAAAACAAAACAAAATGAAATAAAAAAAAGTGGAGCTTTTCTGGTTAAAATGTGGTTTGGGGGTCTCCAGGGCCTGCCAACTAGGCCTCCCTTTTGTTAGACCCACTTAGAGCATCTCTAAGGACCTGGGTTTTATGGACATGGCTTAAAAAACTGTTCTGAGGAGCTCCCTGGTTTGGCTGATTTTGAGGAACCACAGCTTTGGCAAAACTCATCTAGTGCTTTCCTTGGAAACAAATAGTTCTTGATAGTTTAGGATGGCTAGAAGCCTAGGCCTTGGGTAGCATGCTACAAGAAAGGACAGGATGTGCTGCCTGAGTCCCAGAGAGCCCCTGTGGAAGTCAGGCCAGGTTAGTGGGGATCATCTTAGTCCTCTTAGGAAGACTGATCTGAGATGGGGGAAGAGAATGGAAGGGGAATTAGGATGAGTTCTCCAAGAAGCAGACATCAAAACAGGATTGATTAGACATGCAAGAATCTTATTGAGGGAGATGCCTATGTAGGATTAAAGGGGAGGGAGCAGGAAGGAGGGAGAGTGTTCAGACCTTGATGCACACCTGACTCCAGTGAAAGGAGACAGCAAGGAAAGATTGAGTAGGAAGAGCCTCCTCTGCAGCCCAGCTCTGAGAAAGTCTCAGCCAGGCTGATGGGAAGTCCCCAAGCAAGAGTTGATTGTTAGAGGAATCCTGAATTGGATGGGAATGGATTGGCATGAGTACTCCAATGTGCTTGGTTGTTGGCTGGAAGCAGCTTTGGGGGAGTGGCCGCAATGTGAATGCAGTGATGGATCCAAAAGGTGGTAGCTGTGCTGTTGTCAACTCTGCTCTCTGTGGCATGTCCTCTTGAAAGAGATCTCAGTGGTGCACTTCCATGGCTACCCTCATAGGGGAGGGCCAGGCCACCCAGAGAGCAATGAGGCATTTGCTGAAACACAGCGAGAGGGGAGGGAGAGCAAAACATATTTTTCCAGACCCGGGGACAGCTATAGTGAACTGTTGTCTGTTTATTCGCCAGAAACTCAGTGTCCAAGCAAGTGGGATTTGCTCAGCTCATGTGAGCATGTTATCTGAGTTTGCTGGCAGCAGGCCCATAGTAGCAGATCCCTCTTCATTACCTAAGGATACCCTGATGTGTCTGTTCCTGTGGTCTCTTCTACCTTACCTCCAGCTTCCTAAACCCTTCCAGTGGTTTCAACTGTTCTTCACATAAAGACTGCACCCTTTATCCTTGCCTTCTGGGCCTGGTCTGGGCCCTTTCTAGCCCTCCATTCTTATTGCCTACTATGCTTTCCTCCCTGTCCCTGTTCCAGCCCCACTGGCCTTTCAGTCTCTTGCACTTGCCTTGCTCATTCCTACCACAGGGCCTTTGTCCATGATGTTTCCTCTGCCTGGGGTGCTCTTCCAGAAGAGTCTCTTTCCTTCATATCTCTGCACAAGAGTAACTTCTTCAGGGAGGGCTGGAGTCCCCTCCTAGTGCTCTTTAAGTACCGTGTTCAGACATGGTACATTGTGCCTTGGTGGCATTTGTTACAGTCACAGTTTCACATCTTTCCTGGCTGGAATCAGAAATTTCCAAAATTCCTGATTTTTCCAATAGGCTAAAAGCTCCACAAGGGCAGGGGCTACCTCTGTCTTTGCTGATCATTGTGCCTCCATGCCGGACACACTCGGGATGCTTAGTCATGATGTTTTGGTCTAGTGGATAATCTACAAAGAGGGTGGTAAATAGAATAAGTGGATATTCGATCAGTAAAAAGAAAATAAGTGTTGAAACAAAATACAAGGCAGAGCGAGGCACACTACTCCAGAGGTGGGAGTGACTTTCAAAGTCCTTGTTTGCCCAGCCTCCTTGTCTTGCATTAGAAGAGACCAAGCATCAGGAGGCCAGTGACTTCCCCGTGTTTACATGGCAAGGGGCGCCAGAGCTGGGGCTCACACCTTGGTTTCTCGATTCTGACTCGAGTGCACTCTTTGCTGTGGGGGGCCTTGCGTGGTCACGGAGCATGAGATTTGAAGGCAAATGCCTGGGTTCCATATGGGCTGTCTTCTCAGAGTTGATTTGACCTTGAATAAACCATTAACCTGTAGGACTCTTTCTTCGTCTGTAAAATGGGGGTGGTCATGTGCATTTTAAATGGAAACTTTGAATATTAAATGAGATAATATGTGAAAGAGTGCTCTTTTGTAAACTCTAAAGTATTTTACAAATGTCAATACTGTGCCACGTCTTAGTATTTTCAAAGAAGCCTAAACCCACTGGAGATGGGGGTGGATGGGGGTACTGTCCAGACCCTGTTGCTGATCCTGTTCCCGAGCCCACTCTGGCCCTCTCCCCCTGACCCTGTAGATGAGATCTTTTTATGTATTTCTAAAAAGGAGCTAAAACGTTTTTGGAGCATCGGCTCTATGGAGGAGAGAGGAGACCTGTGGGATGGACCAGTGTTTTAGCTTCTGGGTCCCTGCTCCTTCATCAGTGGAAGGAAGGGGTTGCCTCATGTCTAAAGGCTCCTTTCAGCAGGAAGCTCCATCAGTCTTCATGAACAGGACGAGCTCAAATCAGGAAGGGGAGGCTATTACCAGACAGGCTCCCAAACAGGGCACAAAGCAAGGGGAGGCGGCATGGCCTCCAGCTTGAAAGATTTGTTAGATCCCAGAAAGAACTTTCTGGCATTCAGAATGGTTAAATGCTGGACATAGAGAAGGCAACAAAGGTTGTGGAAATTGCATTCTGGAGGTCTTTATAAAGAGAAGAAAAATTCAACTGGAGTTCTGTTGGAACTGGGGAAATAGACTAGGAAGCACCCTTGTCCACAGCTGTTTCCTGCCGCTGCTTTGTTGGTGCTGGGAAGTTTCGTTTGTGCTGGGGGGGTTTCGTTTGTGCTGCAGGGGGGTGGGGGGGGCAGGGGTTAGTTTGTGCACCTAGGTGGCCACTCTTTGGATCTCCCACATCTGTTCTGGGTTCTGAACTTTGACCCCGTTCCTGCTTCTTCCTTCTTAAGGGCATCCCTCCCAGGGCTTGGTCTGGGTGCCATAGCTCCAGATAATAAAAACTCAGCCTCAGCAGTGATTGATAAACTGCTCTGTGTGTAATGATAACATGGGGAATTTCCTGCCAAGATGACCAATCAAAGAGGAAACAGAGGAGAAAGTTTTGTTAAAAATTTTTAGGGAGCATGGTATAAAAACTTTAATTGGTTTTATTTTTGCGGCCATTTTTCCGTGTGTATCTGTCTCCCTTCCTCATTTTTAACCCTCTTGAGACTGGATAGAGATTTCCCAAGCAAGTATAAAAGTAATTATATTCAAAGACAGATTTTTTTTTTCTTCCTAAAGGTATCAAGTTAATTGTCTTTTCTGGGGCTAATTGTCTTTTCTTTGGTCCAGGTGTGAAATGACAGCTTAGTGCCGATGACAGTTTGCATTTGTAAGTCCTTTTCATATACATGATCTCATTTTGTCCTCCAGATGTCTCTGTGGCTTGTTCTTTTTGTTCCATTGCTCAGATGAGTAAACTGAGGTCCCACTTGGCAAAGCTCACAGAACCAGTGTCAGCTCTGCTGTGAATGCTGCTGTTTTCCCATCTTGTTCTACCACTACACAACACAGCAGTGGGGAAGCTACAGGGTTTCTTGTTCTCTAGCTGGCCAGAGCCCCTGAGCTTCCCTGTGGCTGGCAAAGGCAAGTTGGCTTGAGACAATGTTTTCACTGGTTGGTAGGAGAATGAAGACCTCCCCAGCAATGCAGCGAGTTTGAAAAGGAGCATAGCTTTATGCATTAGTTTCCTGGGACAGCTCTAACAAAGTACCAGCAACTGGGTGGCTTAAGACAACAAAAATTTATTAGCTCATAGTTCTGGAGGCCAGAAGTCTGAAACCAAGGTGTTGGCAGGGCCACGGTCCCTCTGAAGGCTCTAGGGAAGATTCCTTCCTCGCCTCTTCTCGGCTTCTGGTGTTACCGGCAATCCTTGGCGTTCCTTGGCTTGTAGTGGCCTCACTCCAGTGGCCACTTCCATCATCACATGGTTGTCTTCCCTGTGTCTCTGTGTCCACATCTCTCTATCCCTCTAAGGACACTAGGGATTAGATTTGCAGCCCGGCCTACTCCAGTATGACCTCATCTTGACTTGATGACATCTGTAAAGACCCTATATTCAAATAAAGTCACATTCACAGGTACCAGGTGTTAAGACTTCAACATGTCTTTCTCAGCCCACAACACCTCATCTTAGTCTAGCCTTCCTGCTTATTTGATTTAAAAATTACCCTTTTAATACACAAAATTATAGTTCTCATAGATGGTAGTTTTTATTTTATAAATGTATGAGACTCAGAAAAATAGCAAACCCTCGTATTTTTATCACTCAAATGAACAATTGACATATATTTTCTTAACAATATTTTTTAAGAACAAAAATATTACAAATGTAGATTTAAAAATTATTGTTAACCATCTTCTCACTTACATTATCTTCTCTTTTTGCTGAGAGCAGTGGTTCTCAACCAGGACAGTTTTGGGGGTGCTACTGTCATCTAGTGGGTAGAGGCCAGGGATGTTGCCAATCATCCAGCAATGCAAGGAGAGCCTGCAACAAGGAATTATCTAGTCCTAAATGTTAATAGCACTCAGGTTGAGAAACTCTATTTTAAAGAGAAGAATAATCATGATATTGACCTGCATCCTTCTAGAAATATTATTCATTCTTTTTCATACATTTACAAGTCTGAATGGTATTGTATTGTGGTATTGTATTGTGCATGAGTATTCTCTTAATGTATATAAATAGTATTTCTTTTTTAGTTTGAGATGGAGCCTTGCTCTGTCGCCTGGGCTGGAGTGCAGCGGTGCGATCTTGGCTCACTGCAAACTCCACCTCCTAGGTTCAAGCGATTCTTCTGCCTCAGCCTCCCAAGTAGCTGGGATTACAGGCGTGTACACCATGCCTGGCTAAGTTTTGTATTTTTAGTGGAGACAGGGTTTCACCATGTTGACCAGGCTGGTCTTGAATTCCTGACCTCAAGTAATCTGCTTGCCTTGGCCTACCAAAGTGCTGGGATTACAGGCATAAGCCCCCACATCTGGCTTAAATAGCATTGTCTTAATGTGTATAAACAGTGTCATCACATATTCTGCATCTTGCTATTTTCCTTTCTTTAACATTTTTAAAGATTTATCCATGTTCATATATGTATGTGTATATAATATACTTATGTGATTTCTTTTAACTGGTTTGTAGTTTGTTGTTTTATAAAAAGGCCTTTATTTGAGGCCCAGTGTTCAAAACCAGCTTGGGCAACATAGCAAGACCCTGTCTCTACAGAAAAAAAAAAGTTACCTAGGCGTGGTGGCGCACACCTGTAGTCTTAGCTACTTGGGAAGCTGAGGTGGAAGGATTGCTTGAGCCTAGGAGTTGAGGCTGCAGTAAGCCATGCTCACGCCACTGTGCTCCAGCCTGGGCAACAAAGAAAGACCCTATCGCTCTCTTTTTTTTTCCCAAAGTCTTTACTTGATGAAATAAAAAATTAATCTTATGTCCTTACTAGGCACATTCTCTTTTTGTAGGGGGTCAAATTTTATTTCCCCATGACATCTATAAGTCTAGAAACCTGGCCAGATGCCACAGGGTAGACCCCCAGTCCTGGTTAGAAAGCATCTCCATTTTCTGGGATACTAATTCTCTCTAAGAACTTAATCCTTCTAGAATAAAGCAATACCAAAGGCCCCAGGAGTCCTCAATCAGTTGCTAAGAAGAATGAAATTGCATCACAATTCTAATTCATAGCATCTGTAAGGCAGGGCCTTCCTTGGCTTTTCAAATTTTCTACCTTCCCTCATTTCTTTTTCTTACCTTTGGGATTGGAAGAGTCAGAAGTGATGGGGTACCTAAGCTGTGAGAGTTTCCTTTAATCCTTGAGGATTTCTGAAAGAGAGCCCCTCTGTATTGGTTTGAGGGCTGCCATAGCAAACTACTACAGACTGGGTGGCTTAAACAGCTGAAGTTTATTTTCTCACAGTTCTAGAGGTTGAAGTCCAAGGTTTTGGCAGGACTGGTTTCTTCTGAGGCCTCTCTCCTTGGTGGGCAGATGGCTGTATTCTCTCCGTGTCATTACATTGCTTTCCCTCTGCGTGTATCTGTGTCCAAGTCACCACTTGTTATAAGGACACCAGTTAGATTGGATTAGGGCCCACCCTAAGGACCTCATTTTAACTTAGTTAGCTCTTTAAATAATCTAACTCCAAATACAGTCACATTAGGTACTGGGGTTAGGAGTTTTGGTGGGAGGGGGGATGCAGTTCAGCCCCCAACAATTCCTGTCCAATATACAGGGTGACTATTTCCAGGGGATGGGGAGAATCAGTGGAAATTTCATGTGACATCTGATGCTGAGATTTTTAACCCAATGTTAAATTTAAAGTTAGTAGGATTGGAAAATTAGACCTCTTAAAGTGAGGTCCACTGAGATTTTGGTTTCCAGGAGACATTGAATAGGGTGAGAAATTTCCAAAAGGCCACTGTTGAGAAACCTCATCAGATAAACACAGAAGACCATGTAGCCCAAGTCCAAATTATTAATCTCAAAGGCCGACCAATAAAGGACTCAGTGGAAAGCACCCTGATCCAAGTTAGAAGGCTTGGGTTTCATCTTGGCCCTGCCTCTTAGCTGTGTGACCTTGAACAAGTTACTTAGACTCGACGTCTTAATTTTCCCCACCTCTAAAGTGGAAGTAATAATACATCAGTGGATTTATGCAAGGATAAGATGAGCACAGTGCTGGGTATCTGGTGAGTTTTCAAAAATGTTATTTGTTCCTAGAATCTGAATCTAAGGAGCTTGGACTCTTTCCTATTGGCAGAAAGGAGCTTCTTTAGAAGCCTGGGAGTGATCTCTTTAAATGTGAGTTTTAGAAAGTTAATTCTGGCTTGGAAGCAGTACGTTAGGAGAGTTGGAAGGAGAGAGAGGTTGGAAGTACAAAGATCAGCTATTAGGCTTTTGAAATAATCCAACTGATGAAGACCTGTTTGAACTGAGTTACTGAGGTGGATGGGGATGGAGGGTAGAAGGGAAGAGGGGTATAGAAGAGAAAAGGAGAGAGAAGGAAAGGAGGAGGGATATTGAGAAGATAGCATCAGAACATAAGAAAATTGATTGGATGTGACAGTGTGAGAGAGAGGAGATGAAGAGCGTGGGATAATGCCCAGGTTGCTAGCTGGGCCTGCTGAGTGGATGAGAATACTAAGGAAGGTAAATTCAGAAGGAACAGTTAAGAGAGGAAGTGGAGGAGGAAAACAATGAGTTTGGTTGTAGTCAGAGTATGTCTGAGTTGTCTAGGGGGCATCCAGGACTAAGAGGGTCAAGGAGAGTGGGTAGTTTGTGAAGAGATCTGGAGATGGAGCTCCAGGGACCCTGACATCTGAAGGGTGGTGGGGAGAAAAGGAGCACCTGAGAGTGACTTTCAAAGGTGTGCAGAGAGGGAGGAGGGGAGGCACCCGAACATGCCAGGAAGGGGGCCCGAAAGCAGCAGATGCAGCAGGAAGGCCTGGGAGGTGGGAACTGAGAAGAAGCTCTGGTTTGGTATTTTGGAAGCCACTGGTAACTTTGGGGAGAGCTGTGTGAGTCAGGGACATGTGGGGGCAGAAGCCGGAATGCAGAGGATGAGGATAGAAAGGGAGAGATGGAGATGATGAGTTTTGATGGAGAAAAGGATTACAGAGAATATCTTCAAGGCGAGGGAAGAGGGAAGAGTCCCGTTTTCTTTTAAGGTAACTGGCATGCTGCTGGGGGCAGGGGGTGAGTGGGGAGCCTATAGAGGTTCAAGAAAGTGTTGATAGAACAGGGTCCCAGGGAGGTGGCAGGGCTTGGAGAAAGAGCACTGGGGATAAGTCAGTTTTAAAGGGACCGTTTTTCATTGAGAAGGGAAGTAGGGAAGGTAGGTAGGAGAGAAAGTGAGTAGCCAGAGGGGAGAGAAGCACAGGCCTTCATGACTAAAAACCTCAATTTTTTTTTTTCAGTAAAAAAGGAGCCCCTGTGGCATCTGAATGAGGAAGGGGAAAAGGGTTTAGAAGAGCTGGAGAAGGGAGCATATTGGGGAAAAGTTGAAGGATTGCTAAGTAGCTGAGGTTGAGAGTGACAGAACCATATTGTAGTTGCATTTGTTGGCATAGATGGGGTTTTGGTTTCTAGTGCCTATCTGTTGCTCAGGAGCAGGGGAAGTGGTTGCTTAGATTCCTCAAGATAGAGAACTGGTGGGGTGGTGGAAGTTCAGGGGATGAGGTAATGATTGACTATGCAGCCTCTTCTAGGTAAGAAGTGAAGAGAATGGAGTATGGGAGGGATGATAGACTGTGAGTGAAGAGATTAGGGTGCCGTATAGCTTTGGTGAGGTTAGCAAGGAGGGTTAGGAAGAGACAGGAGATAGAAATAAGATTTTCCTGAGATAGGTATTTGCTGGAGAGGTAGTTCTGGGTTGGGTTGAAGTCCAGGTCGGTGATAAGGGAGTAGGAAAAAGGGTACAGGTTACTGGAGCGGAGGCACAAAGGCCATGAAGCCAGGGCATTGAGCACATGGGCATTGATCACAGTAGTGGGAGTCAGGGTACAGAGGGAAACATAGCCAGTTAAATATCTCAGTGGATGTGGGAGAGTAATCTTGGGGTGATATATTGGTCAGTTATTACTGCATAACAAACAATCACAAAAAACTGGATGATACGCAATAGTAAGCCTTGATTTAGCTTCCACATCTGGAGGCAGTTTGATCTAGGCCTTACTCATCTAGGTAATTCCAGTGATCTTGCACCTGCAGTTTGGATGGGGTTTGGCTGATCTAGGTTGTTCATAGTTGGGGTGGGTGGCTGGAATAGCTCTGGTCATTGACCTGTTGGAACTGGTGGGCTAGAACAGGCATGCTTATCTCATCGTGAGGGCAGAGGTGCCAAAGAGCAAGCACTTTTCAAACTTTTGGTCATGTCACACCCACTAATATTTCCTTGGCCAAAGCAAATCATGTGGCCATGCCAGAATTCAAGATATGGGGAAATAGACTCCACCCATGCAGGCAGGAGGCGACAGTGAGTGAATATTTCTGAACAGTAACATAATTGACTACAAGTGGTAGGTAAGAGCTGTGAAGAGGAAGAGAGGTGGGGTTGCAGATGGCATGAGGCCCTTGAATGATGACATAAGCACAGAGGGGAAGAAAGGATACTGTCTACTCTGCTCCCATCCTGAGATACACATGGCCCCAACACAGAGTGTTTGGCAGAGACATCATTTGATTAGAGAAGGCATAGCTTTCTGTATTGTGAGGAGTCAAATATGAACAGTGGGAATTCTGGAGGGCACAGAGGGAAGAATTCGAAAGAGGCATTGGGAGGCAGTTGGCTACCCAGGGCCAGAGAGCAGCTGCTGGAGCAGGGAGGTCCTAGCCTTAGGAATAAAGGGCACACACACACACATACACACACACACACACACACACAGCTGCTAGAAGAGCGTGGGCTCACCCGAGGTAAACTCCCACAAAGCCTTATTATTTTGGGAAGGTGTTGTAAAGACCAGCCGCCACATCGCCTTGAATGAGGCTTTGGGTGCTTCTCCCTTCCGGACTAACTGAGGAGGGCAGATGCTTCCCGGGGAGGAGATAGTTTTAGGGGGAGGTGGTCACAGATCTGTACTATACTTGGGATTTCACAATTGCTTTTACTCTGGCAGGGTGTTGGGAACTTTTTTTTTTCCTTTTGGCACTACAAATAAGGAAGCCAGAGGGTGAGTGTGGGAAGAAAACTATTTAAATGGAGACACAGTGATAGAAATAACATCCATCCTTGGAAAGAGAGGCTCTACAAGAAAGGTGGATGAGGTGGGGCACATCAGACCTACACTTTTTCTCTTTGCAGAGCCTCTCACTACTTTTTGAAGTTCTTGATCTTCACTTTCCCACTAGGCTCTAAGCTCCTTGTAGTCAAGGCTGGACTTGTCTTATTCATAGCTTTATACCCAGTGCTAGCAGCACACTCAGAACATAATAGGTGCTCAATAAATACATTTGAGTGGGTGAGTAAATGCATGATGAAAAATTTACAAGTTAGTATATCCATCTCCACATAAAAGAATTCAAAACTTATTTTTGGTAATGTCACTCAACAAATATTTAGGGTCCTCTTGAATATTAATCAGGATGACTAGGCATTCATGAAGTGTGAGACACAGTGCTTGCCAGAGGGTTGCATGACTTCACTTGCAGCTTTGGGAACACTAACTAACAATGCAGAGTCACGTGAAAATGTTTCAGACCTCAGTTTGTCCACCTGCAAAAGGGGGAGGCTGAAGCATTCATTCAGATTTCTTTCCTACAAGGCCTCTTGGAATCTTTAATATTCTATTGTTCATTGTGATCTCTAAAATGGGGAAAATAGTCTGATGCTTCTAAAATGTATGTTTTTCTTTCTTTTCTCTTTTTGCCTTCAGGGCATTTTGTGGGACTGGTTTTCTATGGAGCACATGTTTGGAAATGTGGGCTTGACTAATTCTGCTGGATCAATTCTTGTTGAATTTCTTTTGAAGGTCATTCCCCTCCCACCCTCCTAGATGTGCTTATATCAAATGTAATAGTGCTTTTTCCCCCTTATACTTAGGATGGGATGGCTGCTTTTTAGAGCACCCAGTGGATTCAAACATCTGGCTATCCTTTGTTCTGATGATGTTGGAGGTGGATGTTCAGGTTTCAGCGTTGGGTTGTGCCTGTTCTTCTACTTTGGTCCACTATCCCCAGAGCACCCTGAACTCCATGGAGGATTTGAAGCATCCAAGATAACTCTTTCCCTGAGGGATAGGGGGACAAAGGGACTGGCTTATGTAGAGATGTGGCCAGAGGTTGGGAGGGCTGGACATGCTGACCTGGGACAGGATCAGGAATTCTGAAAATCAGGCAGTTCCAAGGTAAGGTATGGAGTCTAGAAAGGAGGCTATTTGCTACATTCTCACTCTTTTGGATTATATATCTGGATAGGATGTGGCTTCAGGTATTGGGACACTCTGGCTGCCCAGGCGTATTGAGAATGGCCATGGATGGTTGAGAACTAGGCACGGGGATCAAGCCCGGGCCCCTCTCCTATCTACCCTGGATATGAGCCGTGGCCACCTTATTAGTCTGTCTGTGTCCTGCTGTATTCCTTTCAAAACCGGGTCCCACACCATCGAAAATACAGACTTTGTCTCATCACTCCCTCTGTTTAAAATCTTCCAACAGCTCCCCAAGACTTTCTTAGCTTGGCATCCAGGACCTTTGGAACTCTGCCCTCAACAAGACTTTTTTTTTTTTTAACTTTTAAAGTTATCTCCTTATTAATATTCTCTATTTGATGAGACATTGTCATACCTACATTTACTTTTTTTGTTTTATTTTATTATTATTATACTTTAAGTTTTAGGGTATATGTGCACAATGTGCAGGTTAGTTACATATGTATACATGTGCCATGCTGGTGTGCTGCACCCATTAACGCGTCATTTAGCATTAGGTATATCTCCTAATGCTATCCCTCCCCACTCGCCCCACCCCACAACAGTCCCCAGAGTGTGATGTTCCCCTTCCTGTGCCCATGTGTTCTCATTGTTCAATTCCCACCTATGAGTGAGAACATGAGGTGTTTGGTTTTTTGTCCTTGTGATAGTTTACTGAGAATGATGATTTCCAGTTTCATCCATGTCCCTTCAAAGGACATGAACTCATCATTTTTTATGGCTGCATAGTATTCCATGGTGTATATGTGCCACATTTTCTTAATCCAGTCTATCATTATTGGACATTTGGGTTGGTTCCAAGTCTTTGCTATTGTGAATAGTGCCACAATAAACATACGTGTGCATGTGTCTTTTTTTTTTTTTTTTTTTTTTTTTTTGAGACGGAGTCTCGCTCTGTCGCCCAGGCTGGACTGCGGACTGCAGTGGCGCAATCTCGGCTCACTGCAAGCTCCGCTTCCCAGGTTCACGCCATTCTCCTGCCTCAGCCTCCCGAGTAGCTGGGACTACAGGCACCCGCCACCGTGCCCGGCTAATTTTTTGTATTTTTAGTAGAGACGGGGTTTCACCTTGTTAGCCAGGATGGTCTCGATCTCCTGACCTCATGATCCACCTGCCTCGGCCTCCCAAAGTGCTGGGATTACAGGCGTGAGCCACCGCACCCGGCCGCATGTGTCTTTATAGCAGCATGATTTATAGTCTTTTGGGTATATACCCAGTAATGGGATGGCTTGGTCAAATGGTATTTCTAGTTCTAGATCCCTGAAGAATCACCACACTGACTTCCACAATGGTTGAACTAGTTTACAGTCCCACCAACAGTGTAAAAGTCTTCCTATTTCTCCACATCCTCTCCAGCACCTGTTGTTTCCTGACTTTTTAATGATCGCCATTCTAACTGGTGTGAGATGGTATCTCATTGTGGTTTTGATTTGCATTTCTCTGATGGTCAGGGACGGTGAGCATTTTTTCATGTGTTTTTTGGCTGCATAAATGTCTTCTTTTGAGAAGTGTCTGTTCATGTCCTTTGCCCACTTTTTGATGGGGTTGTTTGTTTTTTTCTTGTAAATTTGTTTGAGTACATTGTAGATTCTGGATATTAGCCCTTTGTCAGATGAGTAGGTTGCGAAAATTTTCTCCCATTTTGTAGGTTGCCTGTTCACTCTGATGGTAGTTTCTTTTGCTGTGCAGAAACTCTTTAGTTTAATTAGATCCCATTTGTCAATTTTGGCTTTTCCAACAAGACTTTTTAGCCTTACATTTTTTTCCCACTATTCGCTCCCACCCATCCTGCATTCCAGATAGATAGAACTTCTTATGGCTTCCCGAACATCCCATGATCTTTCCTATCCCACTGTCTTTACTTGTGGTTTTCCTTCTGCTGGGACACCTCCCCTGTGGCCGGGTCTAGCAAAACCATTCATTCTTTAATCTATCACCTCCCCTTATGGTTACTGCTCACATGTCTATCTCTCCTCACCCACTAAACCCTGGCTGGGATCTTTGGGACTCCAGGAACTTACAGGGTGCCTAGCAAGTAGCAGGTGTTTTTTTGGTGTGTGTGTGTGTGTGTGTTGGTGTGTGTGTGTGTGTGTGTGTGTGTGTGTGTGTGTGTGTGTGTTTTGAGATGGAGTCTTGCTCTGTCGCCCAGGCTAGAATGCAGTGGCCTGATCTCCGCTCACTGCAACATCTGCCTCCTGGGTTCAAGCGATTCTCCTGCCTCAGCCTCCTGATTAGGTGGGATTACAGGCGCGTGCCACCACGCCCGACTAATTTTTTGTATTTTTAGTAGAGATGTGGTTTTACCACGTTAGCCAGGATGATCTCGATCTTCTGACCTCGTGATCCACTCACCTTCACATCCCAAAGTGCTGGGATTACAGGCGTGAGCCACCGGGTCCGGCCCAAGTAGCAGGTATTTATTAGAGGTTTGTTGAATGAATGAATAAGGGCGCGTTGTGTTGAATGAAATGGAGGTTGTGACCGCTTAACTCCCTCTTGTCACCTTCACCTTTCTGCGTATATTAAAAGATTTATCTAACCTGGAATAACAAATGCCCATCCTGGCATAGCAGAAAGATGGGTATTTTAAAAAGAGAGAGAGTTTTGTTACCTTTCAAGCATAGCAGGTTTTTGAAAGCTAAGATATAAATAGGTACTAATAAGGAAAATGGGAAAACTAATGCAAAATTACAGATTGTATTAGTCCTGATTGTATAATAATGAATCATAAATAAAGGACCATAAACATTCCAGAATTATCCAGTGAGCCCAGAAGTTGAAGCCATGCTGATAGAATAATTTTTTGAGTCTTGGGTTTGAAAAATATACTGACTTTTTAATTAAAAAAAAACTTTGAAATTTTTTTTGCTGTTAAGTAAAACCTGAAACTTGGTAGAGAAAGATGTAATTGGGGCTTCTACCTTTTGAGGATCATGGAAACTGTATTCAAATTATTACAATTCTGGATTAGCATCCCTAGATGAGAAGGTTTGATATTATATAATAACTCACTGTGACAGGGCAGAGTCTGGCATAGGTGGGCCCATTGTGTGCCATCCAAATGCATTTAATTACTGCAGGATGAGCCCATAGGTTTTATATCATATGCCTGTTGCAACTGATGGGAAGGTAGCACTTCTTAGACTGTTGGTTGAGAAGGATTCTGAAGCTCCCTCTGGGCTCAACATTATGGTACCATGATTAATTAATGATTGATTAGTGAAGTGTGCTGTGAACACGTGTAGGGAAGATTCATGTATTTTGCCACCTTATCTAACATATCCCAGAAGCAGTGGTATAATACTAATCAGTGTGATATATGACAGAAATATGGGACTTATTCAGAAGCTTGAATTTAAGATTCAATTGCATCACTTACTGTTTTGTGACCCTGAACGAACCATGTTCTGTCTCTGAGCTTCAGTTTCTTCATAGGTAGATGGGAGTTGAAAAAAAAAACACCTTATTTGTCATATGGAGGTTAGATGAGACAGAGTTACTTTATACACATTAGTGCCTAGCTTTTCTAATCAGGCTTATGAGATCATTGCTGTATGCAGTCAGTACTTACTTGTTTGCTCCGTGCATGTTACATATGATGGTTTCTGTGCGTATTGCCTGTTTTCCATTCTCAGCTCACAGCACAGGAAGCTTTGCTGGCTCACTGACTTTGCACACCCACTAGCCTAGGGCTCTCACCAGAGCACCTCCCACCTCTTTGGTTCTCTGCGGTGACGTCCTTCAGCATAGGCAGTTAACACCGAAGCAGACGAGGCTGAAGTACATCGTGGTGCTTATAGGCTTGGAAGTTCCATTCTACTTAACTTACTATGTTAAGTGCTCGTAGTAAATTTGGAGCTAAGACTTGGACTTAAGTTTCCTTAGCTGCCTCAGGACTGCGTCTCTAGAACGTCATAGAGTTTAAGCCTTGGCCAGGAAAACTGGGATGACAGTTCTATTCTATGTGTCTCATCCTCTAGGAGGCGAGCGTGGGCATGTTCTCATGGCAAAGGAGCAAGAGTGAGCAAGCAGAAAATATGAAAATGCTTTTCAGGCCTCTGCTGGTGTCATTTTTGCTAATATGCCATTCAGCGAAAGCAAGTCACATGTCTGAGCTTAGTGTCCAGGGCTGGGCTCAGTGATGTTAAATTGCCAAGGGTATGGAGATGGGGAGAGTGAAGAATTTGAGACATTAATACAATCAAACCCAATCAAACCACTACACAACATTATGGGAGAAATCGCTGAATTTTCTTTCTTTTTTTTTTTTTTTTTTGAGACAGAGTCTCACTCTGTCGCCCAGGCTGGAGTGTAATGCGTGATCTCCGCTCACTGTAACCTCCGCCTCCCAGGTTCAAGCGATTCTCCTGTCTCAGCCTCCTATGTAGCTAGGATTACAGGCGCCTGCCACTACACCCAGATAATTTTGGCATTTTTACTAGAGATGGGGTTTCACCATGTTAGCAGGGGGATCTCGAACTCCTGACCTCAAGTGATCTGCCTGCTTTGGCCTCCCAAAGTGCTGGGTTTACAGGCGTGAGCAACTGTGCCCGGCTAGATCTCTAAAATCATAGCGTGAGTAAGGTGAACAGAAAAATAGTAATGATGATAATGGTCATGGCTAACATTTACTGAATGCTTGTTATCTACCAGTCTGTGCTGGGAGCCTATTGCATTTTATTCCATACTGAATCCTCACAATACCCCTTTCATGTAAGTGCTAATATTACCTCTCGCATTTTACAAATGAGAACACTGAGGTTCAGGGAGATTAGGTAATTGTCAGAGGTTACAAAGCTCCTCAGTGGTAGAGCTCTGGAATAAGAATCCAGTTTTATCTGACTCTAGTCTAGCTCTTAACTGAATCCCAGAATACCAGAACCTTGGGGCAGGGACACCCCTTGAAATGTACTACAGGGGAATCTAGGGCAAACAATGAGCAACTCCCTTTCATGCGGACGGTGATAACCTCAAGGAATGTGTCCCCCAAATGAGTATTTACTGATGGTTCCCTCATGCTCAGATGTGTGAGGTTGGCAAAAGTTATAAGACTCAGTAAAAAGGAAATGAGTAAAAAGGAAAAATGAGTAAAAAGGAAAAATCTGTTCAAGAATTTTTTTGCACATTTGTGCAAATGACAGCTCCTCTGTGGCTTTTTGAGGGGAAAGTAGGAGATTCTAGGGATGGTCCCTTAAATGTTGAGGTTGGTATAGGTGCAGTGGTTTTGAAACTGTTCTTTGGGACTCTGTAGAGTTTCACACTATAAAATCTTGATGACTATTGTGGCCGTCATGGGGGAGGCTGGGAAGCAAGATTCCACCTCCTACTTCTGCAGAGAAGCTCTGCTTTTAACTGTCTTATGTTTTGGGGTTTACTTCTTTTTTTTTTTTTCAATCAGAGTCTTGTGGCTTAAGAAAGGAAAGCCCTGTTATAATGGAAATAAACCCGGTCAAAGGGTCCTGATAGTTGAGCTGTAGTGCCACTTCCGCCACCGTCCAGTCATGTAATCTTGCACACTTGCTTGATGATCCCTGGGGTTCTTCTTTCTTCATCTATTGAATGAGGGGCTTGGGCTGGCGATCTTCACTGTCCTCTCCAGATCTGGTATTCCTCATCTTCCAGGAGGGGCATCTGTGATCTATTCTACTGCCAGGGGTGAAGTTCTAGAACTGGTCTGCTAGTGATCCGAACCAGAATCCCTCCCTTGAATCCTTCAAATTTCCGTCTGCTTCCCACCTTAGTCCAGTCAGCAAGCACATGTCTATGATCGACTCTGTGCCAGGCACTAAACCTACCATCGTTCTAAGCTCTGCAGGTCCTAATACTTGCCCTGGCCTGGGAGGGTCTGAAGTGTGCCCTCTTGCTGTGTCTTTTCTTTGCCACTGTCTTCCTTCTTTATGCCTCACATGTTTATGTCTTCCTACAGGACACAGTGTGAGGGTTGGTAGCACCATATACTCTCTAGGGGTTGGCAGTGGAGGGGATAATAAGTGGGGACCTAAGGATGTTGCAACAGATGGGCTCACTGGGTCACTGTTCCCTCTCCAGTTCTCTTCAGCCATTGACAAGGATGCTAAGTTCATCTGACCAAAGTGCTTTTCCAATGTAGATCCCTTTATTTTTATTTATTTTGTATTTTTCTTGAGACAGGGTTTCCCTCTGTCACCCAGGCTAGAGTGCAGTGGCACGATCTCGGCTCACTGCAACCTCCGCCTCCTGAACTCAAGTGATCCTCCCGCCTCAGCTTCCCAAGTAGCTGGAACTACAGGCATGAGCCACCACACCTGACTAATTTTTGTATTTTTAGTAGAGACAAGGTTTCACCATGTTGTCCAGGCTGGTCTCAAACTCCTGAGCTCAAGCAATCTGCCCGTCTTGGCCTCCTAGATCCCTTCTAGCCACCTCTGTCTCTGTCTCTGTCTCTGTCTGTCTCTCTCTCTCTCTCTCTCTCTGGCAGTGACTTCCTCAGCAAAGGGCAGAATTGAAGTCTAGTTGTTTGTCGGGAGGACCTGCATCTTTTATTCTTCTTTCCTAGGTGATGGAGAGGCTGGGGTGACATGGAGGGGTACAGTTCCTATGGAAGGAGAGAAGGCTGGGGAATGCTAGCTGTGTCAGGCACTAAACCTGCCATCCTTCTAAGCTCTGCAAGTCCTAAAACTTGTCCTAGAGGAGACACTGGAGTGTGGGGACCCAGAGAAGAGGGAGTCAGCCATGAGAAGGTTTGAAGAAGGGCATTTCAGGCAGTGGGAAAAGAAATTGCAAAGACTCTGAGGTTGGGCTGCACTTATTGAGTTCTGAAAACACCAAGGAGGTAGCATGGCTGGGGCACAGTGAACAAGGGGAAGAGGAGTAGTAGATGAGACTGGAAAGGTGGCTGGTGTCAGACCGTGGCCATGTGGGGTCTCAAAGGCCACAGGGAGGACTTTGGATTTCATTCTGAGTATGTTGAAAACCACTGGAGGGTCTTGGATGAGGGAGTGATGACTTCCATTTTAAAAGGTCATTCTGACTGCTGTATGGAAAATATTCCATAAGGAGCAAAGGTGGAAGCAGGGATACCTGTTGGGAGAACCGTATATAGTCCAAGAGAAAAAGAAACACTGGTGTAGTAGAATTGATAGGAGTGCAGCTTACGGCCTCCCCTGTGAGGTCTTGGGATGCAGGGCCAAACCTGGAACATCCTGTCAACGGGTAAGGAAACCCTGGGGAGCCTGAAGGTAGAGGAGGAGAGATGGTAGATTGGGTGAGGGGCATCACATAAACTCTGGAGCTAGACCCAGTTCTGCGGTTATTCATTCATTCATTCAACATATGGTATCCATATTCTTTTTCTCCCCCAGAGAATAGATTTTCTTTAGTCCTTGAGGACTCAGCTTCTTACAGGGACTTTGGCAGAGGTCAGGGGTGTAGTGCCTTGGCTCTAAATTGGGGTGAGGGTGTTTGGTCCTTCTAGGCATCACAGTGATTCCTGACTACTTGCTATGAATGGCACTACTCATGTAGTAATGTTGTTTCACATACAGCTTGGGAGGCACAAAAGCCTTGAAGATACATGATTCATGCATGTCCTGATGGCTGCAGTCTCTGCTGTATTTTGGATGATGAGCTTCTTAATGGCCTTGTCCTTGGCTACACATAGGGCCAAATTCATGCAATAAATAGGCTGAATATGGCTGTGGTCCTTTTTGCCATGACTGTTGTTCCTTCTCCTCATTGTCATTTTGGAAGTGAGGAGCTGAGATCTGCACCCTTATTAGCATATGACTTTGGAAAAATGACTTCATTTTCCAGAGGCCTCAGTTTACTCATCTCCAAAATAGGGATAATAATAGTTCCTACATCATAGAGGTTTTGTAAGGATTAAATGACTTCACGTGTACCATACTTGGCATAGCGCGTTGCCCAGAGCAAGTGTATTATGAGTGTTTGCTGTTGCTGCTGTGTTGTAAGGTGTGTGTGCTGGAAGAACTGTGTAGCAGCCTTTCCACTGGCTTTCCAAAATCACAAAAGGACCAAATTGTCATGGGTCTGGGTCCTGAGCACACTGATCTACACTGTCCCCTTTCTAGGGGCTGTGTGTCATCTGCTCCTGGCTCCCAGGCTCAGCCTTCACCCCCATTGTAACCCTTCCTGGAAATACCTTTTGTGGGCACATTGCTGCCCCTGCTTCCTGCCCCCTGGCATCACATTGCTCTGCAGGAGGTGTGGTCTGTGCCTCATACCTGTGAGGTGTGCCCGGTAGATGGGGCTGTGCCAGGCCCCACATTCACCCTGTGGTGAAGCTGGGGGCTGTCTGGTCTGGGTTCACACAGTTCAAATCTGTCCAGAGCCTTTGCCAGTTTGTTCTGTTCTCCTCACCAGCTCTGGCACCTCTTGCTCCATTAATGGAGAATTTGTCAAGTAATGGGAATAATTAGCACAGTGGGGGCTTTACTGTGTCCTGGAAAGAGAACAGAGAGAGCCCTCCCAGCAGCCCCAGACATGATTGCTGGGCAGGCTTATTTTCTCTTGTCTGCGCCTCTCTCCCCTTCTCTTACATGTGTTTGATTTTTTTCCCCCTCTTTGTGTGGAGAGAGTTGGCTAGGAGAAAAGACTCGTAAATTGCACTCTTGCTGGGCTGGTGCTGCGAAAGCTGGATAAGATTGTCCTCTAGGGCTGAATAATTTTCCTCTCCCCTTACCCGCTTTGTGGGGAAAGATCAGCTAAGCACCTAGTTCATTTTCCCCTCCTTTTCCCTCTCCATTTTTTCTCTCTCCCCCAGCCCTCCCTGCTTCTCTTCCCTATCCCCTCATGTAAAGAATTCACTGGCTTTCAATTGAATCTTTTTTAATGGTCCCAAGAGGGGAGGATCTTGAAGGGTGATTATCTTCATTATAAATTATTAACTCTCCCAGCAGCCAGATGGCTTTCCAAACCATGGCTGGGAACTCCAGGCTGGGGAGGCCCACTGGCCAGGGAGGAGGGGGTGAGAGAAGGGAGGAGGCTGAAAAGTAAATGGCCACAGCTTCTTGGGTTCCTGGCTGTACTGAGGTTGCTCGGGAGCCTGTTGGCACCTTACAAGGCCTGAGTTCTTTGGTGTGTGAGAGAAGAGTTTGTTGTTGTTGTTGGTTTTCACCCACTAGAGAACTCAGGGTGCAACAACTAGGCTACCTTGGGGATGGAGTATAGGTAGTAGGTGGAAAAGAGACTGTTGCCATGAGTTGCTTTTGGTATGAACCTTAGAAGATTGTCAAGGCATGGTAAGAGGGCATGATTATTTCTGTCCTTTGTGTAGTCTTTGATGTGCACATCCTGGAAGGTGTATTCATTGTTCTTCCCAATTTATAGGAGAAGAATAAAAAATTGAATAGATCCAGAGGTATCCATATGGTTGCTTGGCCAATAGTTAGTGAAAAGACAGTCTGGTTCTGACTTCCAATCTAGTGGTCTTTCCCTGACATCAGATTTCTCTTCCGCAGTTGCTTATGCCCTACTTGTCCTTCAAGTTTCCTTGCAGGTTCCTCTCCTCTGAGAAACCTCTGACCGCACCAGCCCTGAGTCATCTTGTTCCTCTGGATTGTATTGTATTCCATGTATAGACCTACTTAGTACTGGACATAGAACCCCTAAAGATGTCCAGTCTCTTCTGGGTCATCCCCAGTAACAGGGAGCCTGCTTCATTTGGAGGTAATCTGCTTCTAAGATAAAGACATAAATACTCTCTGTAGAACTTCCGTTCACTAGACAAAATTCTATCCTGGAGGGCAATAGAGAAACCGTGGGATCTTTTTTCCAATTTAAGTATGCTTCAAAAAAAAAAAAAAAAAAAGAATGCTTCCTACTCCTGTGGACACTGCTCCTGCCACTGCTGCATTGCCTGTGTTAGCCCAAACACCCTGACACCTCCAAAAATTTCTCCTATAGAGACTCATGTATGACTCTCCACATTGTCTGTGACACTGGAATGAAATTTAAAGAAGTCCATCTACCCAGCCTATTCTCCCTAAGCAGTCCCTGTGATATGGCTTAGCTGTGTCCCCACCCAAATCTCATCTTGAATTGTAGCTCCCATAATTCCCACATGTCATGGGAGGGACCTAGTGGAAAGTAATTGAATCATGGGGGCAGATCTTTCCCAAGCTGTTCTCCTGATAGTGAGTAGGTCTCATGAGATATGATGGTTTTATAAAGAGGAGTTCCCCTGCACAAGGTTTCTCTTGCCTGCCCCAATGTAAGATGTCCCTTTGCTCTTCTTTCATCTTCTGCCATGATTGTGAGGCTTCTCCAGCCATGAGTCCATTAAACTTCTTTCCTTTATAAATTACCCAGTCTCAGGTATGTCTCTATTAGCAGCTTGAGAATGGACTAATACATCCCATGAGACACCAACATTAGCCATGCTGCTAGCATGAAATAATAAGCATCAAGGACAACAGTGGACAGCAACAGTAGATAACATTTATTTGGTACTTATCTGTGCTGAGCATTGTCCTAAGGGCTTTCACTTGTACTAAGTGCCTACGTATGATAATTCATTGTTATCATCTGTTTCACAGAGAAGACAACGGAGGCATGGAGTGGATAAGTGATGGGCTCAAGGTCACATAGGCATCAAGTAGCAGGTCTGAGATTTGAACCCAGGAAGTCTGGCTCTAGAGCCCATGCCTTTAACCACTACATTATCCCGCCTGCATGAGAGGGGCACTCATCCTAGCACCAGTCTTCTACTTTGGACCCTAGAGGCTAACCATCACCATATCAAGCCCACACTTGGCAGAGTCTGCTTCTCACATTTGGTCCACCTCCTTATATTATTTAGGCTCATGTCTTTCCTTTCTACTAACATATAAGTGCCTTTCAGGGCTTGAGCTATTTTTATTTATTTATCTGTATGTCTGGAACATGGGTGCTCCATGGTTAAACAAAATAAATGAAAAACTTTCTTTTCATTCACTATCTTTCAGCTTACCTACACCTTTCTCAGAGTATGACTCAGAATAAAAATTCAGTGACTGGTCAGATTGACACAGATGATGATCTCTTTCTTCCTATAAGTTATATTTCAATTAACATAGTCTAAAATTACATTTGATTATCTGGCAGCCACAAATGCTTTTATATATATATATATATATATATATATATGTGTATATATATATGTGTGTGTGTGTGTGTGTGTCTTTTTGTCAATTTAATTTCTCAATTCTTGTTTACTATATAGTTACAAATTGTACCTTCCATCCTTATGGGTTGTTTATATTGGAGGATCAAGTTGCATTCCTTTCCATTTATCTCCATCAAATTTTGTCTTATTAGATATAGGCTGTAGTTTTAGCCTATCATGATCTCTTGGAGTCCCTTCAGCCTCACCTGGCACACTCATAACTCTCAGTGTCAGTTCATCTACACACATGATTATTTGGCTCTCTCCATCTTCACTGGGGCTCTTGATAAACATGAAAGATGAGATCAGGCCTGACCTCCCACAAGAGCCTGTGTCCTAATGGGTTTGCGCCTTCTTTGAATGCTGTTCTTTAGCCAGTGACCAGTCTTCTTGGTCTGTCTGCCTCACAGTTCTCATATCATGAGAAGATCTGCTGAAGTCCATATATAACTCATGTGTATCTCTACCATAACAGATCAGTATTCTTGACAGAAAAGGAATTTAGGTTAGCCTGACATGACTTCTTAGTTCTTGGGAAAACTTAGTTTTTAGTAAAAAAAAAAAAAAGTGTTATAGTTAAAGGTTAAAAAAAAAGTCTCTTCCTGTCTCTCCCCATCTCCATTCCGCTTTCAGCACAATATAAACTTCAAATGCTCTTTTCTATGTGTCCATTTGTTAAGAACAGAATTAAGGTCCTTGGAGGCTGTTTCCCCTTCTTTTTCCTAAAGGGTAAGGCTTGGTGACTAAGACTAGGATCAGCTCCGCAGATTTCAGGAAAAGAAGAGAAGATGCAAGAAGGGTGGTATTCCTAGACATGACCAAATTATGGGAGAGAGGACTAGGGTATAGAGTGGGCTCAAAAGAGAGGACAGTGAGCTTCCTATTGCAAAGCATGGTGGATATTTGCCCTTAGTTTTCTAGAAGAGAGGTTGGTTTTGACTTGGGGAACTGTAAGAAGGAAGTTCCAGCCTACAAAACAGGAACTAGTAATAATTTTCTTTAAAACCCTTCTTCAAGTGACATAACAAAAATAATAGATTAACATATATATGTATCAGGAAGTGCATTAAGTTGCTTTTATTGAAATATAGCATACATAGAGAAAAGCACATACATTGTAAGTATACAGCTCCCTTGTTGCATTTTCACAAACTGAACACATTACGCAGAATCACCCAGATCAAGAAACAGGATTCCTTCACCCCTTTGCCTTCTTCTAATCATTAACCACTATTCTGACATTTAACAGCATAGAATAAATAATTTTGCCTCTTTTCGGTTTACATAAATGAAGCACATACAGTATGTGTCTTACTTTGCTCAATATTATGTATGTGAGATTCATCCACGCTTCTGTCGAGATGAAGAGCAATCATTCTCAAAGCTGTATAGTATTTTGCATGAATAGACTACAATTTATCCACTCTACTGCAGGTAGACATTGGGTGATTTTCTAGGTTTTGTCTATTATGAATAGTGTTGCCATGAACATTCTCATGCATATTTTCAGTTGGACATTTGTAAGCATTTCTGTTCGTGTATACCTAAAAGGGTAATTGTGGAGTCCTGGGGTAAAAATGTTCAGCTTTAGTAGATACTGCCAGCATAATTTTCCAAAAGTAGTTACATTTTTATAAATTTTTAAATTTCATGAAGTTCAAAACTGCCCTATGAGATAGGTATTATTCCCCCCCCCCTTTTTTTTGATGAAGAAAGACTCAAGAGAGTTGCCCAAGGTTAAATAGCTATAGGAATGAGAGTCTGGGTTTAAATTCAGCTGTGCCTGCCTCCAAAGCCCATGTTCTCTCTCACTAGCCTGAACTACTTTTATATCTTTGAGAGAATTCATGCCTTAACCTCCCTCACTACATGCAGTAGAGCCTTTGCTGTTGTATTAAGATAGATAGTGCTGACTATGTGAGCTTGCCCTAATGGTGTGGTGTCTGGAGGGGTACAGTTTAATTGAGGGAGCACATTTCTGAGGTTCTTGTATAAGAACAAGCCTCTGTCCACCTGCAAAACACACAAGAAGAGAAACAAGCCCATATCCTATGCCTTTGTTCAAGTGCATGGGCAAATGGGTGTGGAGAGCATTGATGGCAAAGGTGGGTAAGACATGAGGCTCAGGTTACAGGGAGTTCTGGGTGTAGGTGGCCATATGAGATGGAAGCTTCTGCTAGTTTGTCAGTGACAACAGTTTTTTATGGTCCAGTATTAGGAGTGTATGAGTCAGGACTCTTGGTCACAACCCAACTCAAACTTGCTAAAGGAAAAAAAGTTTTGGTTCATGAAATGGAAGTCACAGGATTCATTGGGCTTTAGGTCTGGCTAGATCTAGGTGTTAACACCACTAGAAATCTGTTTGTATCTATTTCTTGGCTCTGATTTCTTCCTTGTTGTTTTCATTATTAGACAAAATCCTCTCCAATGGTGGAGATGGATCATACTCCACCAGTAATGATGGTGTCTGTCAAGTTTGAGCTTCACTCTAATAATTTGTTGATGTGGTAAGAAGAGAGAGGGGATCCTTTTCACGATAATTCCAGTGAAAGTCCCGGCATTAACTCAAATTCAACTTCAAGTCTGGGTGAGAGACCCATCTTGAAACTAATCACTGTGGCCAAGAGATTGGAATGTCCCAGTTGACTAAACTGGATCATATGATTTGGGATTGGGATGAACCTCACCTTGAATGACACAGAACGAGATTGGTGGTGAAAATCATTTACCTGCAAAGTGGGGTGAGGGGAGCAGTGAACATGGGGCAAAACCACCAGAGAGCCACTGGAGAGATTTTCCAGTCCTGGTGAGGGCAGGTCATAGGAAGCTTCTGGAAGAAAACCTGGTAAGCCCCACCTGGGGACTGTGGGATGCCCGCAAAGGCTGGGCACAAGGACAGTCATCATCGTGACTTCCTAAATCAAACCCACTTGTAGACAGTCCGACTTCCTTGAGTCTGTCTCAAGCTCAGCTAAAGCTCCAGGCAGTTGGAAAAGGGAGGAATGAAATTGGAAGGAGGGGTGGGGAGGGCAAATGGCAGCCAGATCTTCTGAGCCACACCTTGTGGCAAATAGCCCACATGTCAGAGTTGTGTGAGCCCCCCCCACCACACCACCCTGCCCCCTCCTAAGCAGCCGGCTTATGAGACATTTGCAAAGATGTTAACCCCACATAAAAAGTGTGCCGTTCGATAATTATGTAAATTAGCTGACAATTAGATAATGTCACTCACTTTCCCTCTCTCGCTTGATTCCCACACAACAGAGAAGTGTTCTGAGCTTCTGCACCAGCCCGGGCCCTGCATGCAGGCTCTGGGGCAAACCACCTGTGTGCGTGGCTGCCTGCGTTCTCCTATGGTTCAGTAGAGGGTGGCAGTTGTCTGGCCAGGTGAAGAGGGCTCCCTGGCTCCCGTTTTGCCATTTCTTGAGTCTAGCATGCCCCACCAGAGGGGCAAAGAAGGCTGAAGGATAAACGCTGGCAGCAGTTGGAGGCCTGCGATATTTAGTGTAAGGGCATCTCTAGCTTTTGGCCATTTTGGCAATTTCCCAGAGGCTGCAGGAATGTCCAAAACTAGGAATGAAAAGGAAGGGCTGTAGGAAAGAATGTGGATAGACCATAGAGGGTTAAGTCTACATAAGCCCACTTGTGATGTTATCACTTCTGAAACTGGATTCTGCCTGTGGGAAAGAAAGCTTGGGTTTCCTCAGTCAGCCTTTTTGATCCCCCACAATGCAGGGCAGGGAATGGTGGTATCCCCCAGTGCTGGTCTGGGCTGGAGGGGAAGGATGAGGGACTGAAGGAATGGGGAGGCTCAGCCTGGAAGGGGTGTGTGGCCCCGACAAAGCAGGCTAAGTGCCCATGATCTTCCCCCACAAGGGAATGTTTCTGGGCAGCAGAGTTTTTCATTCATGGGTTTCCTCAGGTCACTAAGCATGTGCTGCTTTGCTCATTGGGGTCATGTGAGGTTGGCATCCAGAGAGGCATGGGGGTTCAGGATTGATGTCCTTGTGTAAAGTGGGGTTGTGTGGAGGCCACTGCATGGAACAGAAGTCAAATAATCCACAGGAACATTCTTCCACTTCTGCTTTTACTGTTCATTCTATCTACAAGTGCTTCCCAAACTCCAGCTCCATGACGAGGCCCTGTGGCAGACACCGTGTTGAAGCAGTCATTGCCTCCAGGGAGCCCCCCATCAGCAATCTGGTTCCAGAGCCTGGGCTCTTAATTGCCGTGCTTTACTGTCTCTGAAGTAAACTTGTCCCCCACTAGTTTGTGATGCCCTGGAGGGTGAGATTGGTGTCTTTATTTTGCTTTGATCCAGTAGTGCCTGGAATGAATTGGAGCTCAATAAACAGTTGAATTGAAGGGTTTTCTCTTTCCTTTGAGATGTTGCCCTTTGACTTGGTTGGCATACCTCACCTCATACAAGGAATCATATTCTTAGAAATTGTGTCACGTTTCATGTCCTACCCTCCTGTTATCCATGTCCGGCTTCATGTCTTCCACTCACTCCGCTCCAACAGCACCTACCTCCTGCTGTTCTTCAAGTATACCAGCTTGCTCCAGCCTCAGTTCTTTTACATTGACTATTATTTCTGGAACATTCTTCCCAGATACTTACATGGCTGATTCCCTCACACTCTTTCAAGTCTTTTCTTTTCTTTCTTTCTTTTTTTTTGAGACAGAGTCTTGTTCTGTTGGAACAAGTGGATGGAGTACAGTGGCACGATCTTGGCTCACTGCAAACTCTGCATCCCAGGTTCCAGCAATTCTCCCTGCCTCAGCCTCTCGAGTAGCTGGGATCACAGTCGCCTGCCACTGGGACTAATTTTTGTATTTTTAGTAGAGATGGGGTTTCGCCACATTGGCCAGACTGGTCTTGAACTCCTGACCTCAGGTGATCCACCCACCTCGGCCTCCCAAAGTGCTGGGATTACAGGCGCAAGCCACCGTGCATAGCCTCAAGTCTTTACTTAAATTTCACCTTCTCAAATACTCTTTGTGGTGTTTGCCTTTTTTCTGGGGTGTAAATACTCCTTGCCTGTTTATTTCATGCTACCAAAGTCATGCCAACCAGTCAAAGTTTTTGAAATTTTAGCAGTTGGCTCTCACAAGCCTGTATGAGTTGGCACCAGCATACTCCTGTGTCCATGTCTCAGCTGAGCATCCCTTGAACCACTGGGGGTACCTGTGTGTATGGTAAAAGCACTTGATAACAATAACTTGAGCATACCCTGAGAATGACCCTGCATGGCAGATGCACTTGAATGTGTGTGTCCTACGCTAGGGAACCTGGGAGTGGCCAACCAGGAGATTCATTCCTTCTCTATGAGGAACATATAAGCCCCTGGCTGGTCCCATGGAACATGGGCTATACAGGGGATCAAGGCCCTTTGTTTTAGGGTAAATGAAGGTTGCCAGATAGGGACTGTTATGGGGAGGGTGCTAAGTAAATATGCTGTGTAAACTGCATGCCTTTTGCAAGCAGTTGCAGCTCTCCTACCCAGCTCACCACCACTGGACTCTCTCCTCTGGATGTAAGCTCCCCGTTAAAACCCATTTCTCATTTGTCAGCTCTGGGATTATTCTTCTGCCTCTTGAACCTGGTACCTTCCTTATCGGAGTCTATGGAAGTTTGGCACAGCACCTGTGCCACACTTTAGGGAACATTGCTTGGACAAAGCCTTTTATAGAACAAAGCCTTTCCTTATAATGGATTTAATCAGCCCCTTGTTCGTTGGGTTTGTTTGTTCATTGGGAATAGGTGTTTGTTCCTGGTTAAGGAACAGCAGCTTCCTCTTCAAAGAAGGGGTAATAACTAGCTTTGCTGATGTGGTTATCATTAAAATAGGGGATAGTAATGTTCTGATGGAGCCCATGGTGAATTATCAAATGTGCCAGGTAATAAGCAGCAACTTGCACAGCTCCTAGAAATCACACTCACTGTTTGATCTGAACAGAGAACTCAGGCGGGCCAGAGTCTGCCCTCAGAAACCAGACTGCGTGCTGGTGCATTTCTAACTGTTTCTACATCATCATAAAATATATGTAATATACTCTAGGTCATTTGGAACTATCCAGTGTCACTCTAGGAATTTCTTAACTATTCAGTTGTCATCCATTCTGCAGTTTTCATAATCTTTTTCAGTACTTTTGTTTTTACACATTGCTCACTCTATAGCCATACATACATCCACACATACACAGACATACACAAATAACCCCTCCTCCTGTCCCTTCCCACTTCAGAGATAAAGGAAGAGACCTAGGATTTGTTGTCACCTCCTATGTATAAAGCCTCATGTGGCCAGCAGCTGTGGCTCATGCCTGTAATCCCAGCACTTTGGGAGGCCTAGATGGGGAGATCAGAAGTTTGAGACCAGCCTGGGCAACATGATGAAACTCCGTCTCTACTAAAAATACAAAAATTAGCTGTGCATGGTGGTACATGCCTGTAATCCCAGCTACTTGGGAGGCTGAGGCAGGAGAATTGCTTGAACCCAAGAGGTGGAGGTTGCAGTGAGCCGAGCTCACGCCACTGCATTCTAGCCTGGGCAAAAGAGCAAGACTCTGTCTCGAAAAAAAAAAAAAGGCTTATGCTAGGATCTTCCTATACCTGATTTCATTGATTCCTCTCTTCAATCTTGGGAAGAGGCTATTATTTTCTCTACTTTACAAATGAGGAAATAGAAGCTCAAATAGGTTAAGAAATTTTCTCAAAGTGCCACATACAGGAGCTAGGATTCAAACTCAGCCTTTTTTTTTTAGAAGGAATAAAATAATCCTCCTCTCTTAATATTCAGTAAGAGAGGAGGATTATTTTACTCATTACTCACCTTCCAGTTTATTTTCACTGATTTTTATAAACATTTCTTTCACAAATTTAGGGGTAGCAATTTGCCTTAGGCTTCCTACAGTGAGTTGTCAAATTGAAAAGGAAAAATCTAGAAAAAAGTTAATGTCATTTGCAAGCTTTTAATAGGTAAATAAGTAAAAATTAGGTGTGGGTATTTGAATATATAAAATGTTAGCACTTATCTTAAAAATACACTTTGACAATGTGACCTTGTGATGTGAATATTCTAATAATGTGCTGATATGGCTTTGGGGATTTTTATTATTTTTACATATGGAAAACCTGAGTGCATCATTAGGACCTGGTCGTCTTGTAGTGGCTCTGGAAGAACCCACGGCCTCCCTCCTGTTTGAAGCACTAAGCACTGTAGCAATCACTAGAATAGCTTGGCTCGAAGTCAGCATTCCATCAATACTTGTGAAATAGGATGCAATGTTTTCCTGATATATGGTCCTAATCTTCCTCTCCTTCTCCCTCCCCCTCTTCCCACAGGTCTTTTCTCTGGAGTCCTGGGAGGCAAGTTATGGGCAGCACTGCTTCTGGCCGCACCATGAAGCCTGAGTCTGCTTGCGCTCTGCCCAGGGCCCTGCTCTGTCTGAGCATTGGGCTTCTAGCTGCCCCCCTCCCCACAGCCTGCCGCTGCTAGGAGGTAGAACTTTAGGAGTGGTCCTTGGCCTGTTTCTACCTGTCACCTGGCTCACCTCACCACTCACTCCTCCTCCATCACAGCACCCCGGCCCTCCCTGTCCCTGGCCTCCCTGGCTGGGGCATTTGGGGGTCCGCTGGGAGGAGTGCATCGCTGAAGGCTTCTTCCTACTCTCCTGCACCTTCTCCTCCTTGAGTCAAGGCCTCCGGATCCACATGGATAGCTGAGATCTTTTCTTGGAGAAAGACGCTTTCCTCTTTACTCCAGTCCCTCACTTCCCCACCTGATTTTCCTCCTCTTCTGCTGGTCCTGTCTTTTTCTACTGCCTCTTTATTCAATTTCTTGCTTGTGTGCCCCTCTGGGACTCTCTTGTACACTTTCCTCCATCTCCACTATCTCAGGATCTGTGTGTGTGCTGCCTTCCTCCTGTGTGCTTTCTGTCCCCCCATCTCTGTCTTGTCTTTCCCACTTCTATTGCCAAAGGGAGAGATCCTCTCCGGGCTGTTCCCTGGCCTGTCTGCTCCTCCGGGCTCTGTCCCAGCAGCGACAATGAGCTCCACACTCCACTCGGTTTTCTTCACCCTGAAGGTCAGCATCCTGCTGGGGTCCCTGCTGGGGCTCTGCCTGGGCCTTGAGTTCATGGGCCTCCCCAACCAGTGGGCCCGCTACCTCCGCTGGGATGCCAGCACACGCAGTGACCTGAGTTTCCAGTTCAAGACCAACGTCTCTACGGGGCTGCTCCTCTACCTGGATGATGGCGGCGTCTGCGACTTCCTATGCCTCTCCCTGGTGGATGGCCGCGTTCAGCTCCGCTTCAGCATGGACTGTGCCGAGACTGCCGTGCTGTCCAACAAGCAGGTGAATGACAGCAGCTGGCACTTCCTCATGGTGAGCCGTGACCGCCTGCGCACGGTGCTGATGCTTGATGGCGAGGGCCAGTCTGGGGAGCTGCAGCCCCAGCGGCCCTACATGGATGTGGTCAGTGACTTGTTCCTTGGTGGAGTCCCTACTGACATACGACCTTCTGCCCTGACCCTTGATGGAGTTCAGGCCATGCCCGGCTTCAAGGGGTTAATTCTGGATCTCAAGTATGGAAACTCGGAGCCTCGGCTTCTGGGGAGCCGGGGTGTCCAGATGGATGCCGAGGGACCCTGTGGTGAGCGTCCCTGTGAAAATGGTGGGATCTGCTTTCTCCTGGACGGCCACCCCACCTGTGACTGTTCTACCACTGGCTATGGTGGCAAGCTCTGCTCAGAAGGTAAGACCCTCTCCCTCTCTTGCTAGAGACCCACCCACGGGATGGCTGAGGCTGGGGCTCCTGATACAAACCAGTTCTATATGGATGCATATCTTTAGCTGCATGTTAGATCACTGGGCCCCTTGCCCTAAGGAGGCAGTGGAAATCCTTTGCCTACTCTTAATGGAGAATCTGTCAGATCTCAGCAGGAGTAGAATCCTGACCCCTGAACCCTGGGCTCTGTACCCTACTCAGAGGGTTAGATGAAGTAGGCTGCAGGGTCTGCCCCAGCTTGGCCCCTCTCACTGCAGCACCGTTTATCACAGTCAACCCAGGGCAAGAAATCAGATAGAAATTGGGAATTTCGGCTAGGCAAGGTGGCTCACACCTGTAATCCTAGCACTTTGGGAGGCCGAAGCGGGCAGATCACTTGAGGTCAGGAGTTGGAGACCAGCCTGGCCAACATGATGAAACCCTGTCTCTACTAAAAATACAAAAATTAGCTGGGCATGGTGGCGCACGCCTGTAGTCACAGCTACTCGCAAGGCTGAGGCAGGATAATCGCTCTAACCTGGGAGGTGGAGGTTGCAGTGAGCTGAGAATGCACCACTGCACTCCAGCCTGGGTGACAGAGTGAGACTGTCTCAAAAAAGAAAAAAAAAAAAAAGAAAAGAAATTGGCAAATTTCTACCTGTGTCTCTCCTGAGCCCTTGAGGTTTGGACCCTTAGGGATAGCTGGGAAACTCCCCATCACTTCCTCTTAATCATCCCTCACATAAAGAATGCCTGTGCAAAGAAAAATGAACCCAGTTCTTCTATTGGGGCCCACCCCACCTCCCAACCCTCTGGGAGGTGTCTAGAAGGTGGATGAGGCATCTGCGCCAGGCCCTTCTTACCTTTTTGTTTTTGGCAATGAGGATTTCTCACATGAGGTACCTCTTTAGATGTGGTTCCCTTTCCCATCCTCTCCATGTACTGAGAACATTGCAAAGAGGCACAGAGATTGACTGCAGTGTTGTTCAGCCAAGCCTCCAAGGGAGCTGAGAGTATACAGCATAGCCTGGAGAACCTCCCAGGTTCAACCGTGACTTCCCAGGGAGAAGCAGGGAGGCACAGAGGCTTAGGTTGCCCTCCCTTGCTCACCAAATCTGACTGTTTGGGGTTAGATCTAAGAGAGGTGGCTCAAACTTTAACTTGACAAATACTTAAAATCCAAATTCCTGGACTTACTCACGGCTTAGATTTGGGTAGCAGGAACTGCTGACATGAGAAGCTGAGAACCAACCATACAGGTATGTATGTTGAGAGGTTAGGGTGACAGGAGGCAAGGAAGTCACATTTCCTTCTATCCTTTTAGGATTAAGCCCTGGTTTCTCTTAGACGGGTTTTATGTTGCCATCCCCTACTGGTCTCTTCGTGGAGGTGGTGTAAGGTATAGGGCAGAACAGTGGTTCTCAATTTAGCTGCATGTTAAGATTGTCTTGGGGGAATTTAAACTCCAGACCACACCCCAGGCTAATTAAATCAGAATCTCTTGGCATGGGATCCAAGCATTTGTATGTTTTTAAAGCTCTCCACATAATTCCTGTGCACAATCAAGGTTAAGGACTAACTAGTACAAGATCAAGGGAGGCCAGATGGCTGGTGCCAGGTGGGTGGTGCCAGGTGGGTGTGGCCAGGTGAGTGCCTTGCCACCGATTCCCAAGATCTCTTCATTCAGATAAGGCCCTGCTATTGGGATGTGTAATTAAAGACTGCAGGTGTTCCTTAAGTGTTTCCAGAACATCCCAACCCCTAAAGCAGGTTGTGCTTGATGTGAACCTTAGCTATCAGTGGCTATTTAAGAATATTTAAAAAAATTAAAACAAAATTTATTTCCCAGGTGGTACCTGCTGGAGACTGGAACATATCAGAGGTCTTGTCATGCATGGGCTATTGCAGGAGCTGCCTGGGTCTCCACTCCTTTCTTCTAATGGGTTGGGCATCACAACTTTCTCCCTTCCTGTGGGTGGGCTGTCAGAGCTGGAGATGCCAGGCATATATATCGTCCTTATTTGGCTTCTGTTTTTCCTCCACTGAACCCACTGGGAGAAGGGGTGGGGAAGAGGCAACCCCAGTCTACAAACCATTTTGGGAATGTGGTTATTGAAGTGCTTCTCACAAGCAGGTGCCTTCTGGAGCTGACTGCTGTTCCAGAGCTTCTTGGCTTTGGAGAAAGTTCTGCCTGAAGACGCTGACATGATCACTTGTTTTCTCATTCGCCCAAAGGATCTGTTCTGTTCTCAAAACTTGTATTGAAAGCTGGCATTCTTCCTTTCTAGGGACCAGGGTGTTTGCAAGTGTGTTGTTAGCTTGCTGATTATCCCTGATTGCATTTTTGTGTTTAAAAAGAACTCATTTCCTTGGGGCAGGTTTGGATCAGCACTTTTCCGCAGGAAAAAAAATCTCTATACTGTATATGTATACAATTTGCTTTTCTCTTCTTTTTCTTTTTATATTTTGTGTGTGTTCCAGCTCCCAGTGGAATTTCTTCAGAGCAGATTGTGTGCCATTGGTTTTTTAATAGCTAAATGCAATATGTATATTTTAATAATTGTTTTTTTTTCCTACAAGGTTCAGATCATCTCCTGGCTACGGATTGATACCCCTATCTGTAGAAGGCAAACACACATCCTAACTCATTTATTCTCCCCATACATAAATAGAGTAAATAAACTGCCGTAACAGTAACACTTGGCTGGCTTGGAACAGAGCAGTGCAAAGGTTGAGGTGAGAGAGGATGTTGCGGGAGGTAACAGAATCTACTGTTGATTACTTGGAGCCTGTTGATCCTGGTAATTGTCATCAAGTCTAATCAATCACAAAAATGCATCACAGACTATTAGAAAATAACCGTTGCCTCCACACATAGTTAATTTTTAGAAAGTAAGCAGAAAAAGTCACCTGTAAAATGTGAAGGGAAAGGAAATCACAGCAGCTGCTAAGTGTCAAATAGATCTACACAAAACAAGATAATGTCTGCCCATTTTTCCAAAGATAATGTGGTGAAGTGGGTAGAGAGAAATGCATCCATTCTCCCCACCCAACCTCTGCTAAATTGTCCATGTCACAGTACTGAGACCAGGGGGCTTATTCCCAGCGGGCAGAATGTGCACCAAGCACCTCTTGTCTCAATTTGCAGTCTAGGCCCTGCTATTTGATGGTGTGAAGGCTTGCACCTGGCATGGAAGGTCCGTTTTGTACTTCTTGCTTTAGCAGTTCAAAGAGCAGGGAGAGCTGCGAGGGCCTCTGCAGCTTCAGATGGATGTGGTCAGCTTGTTGGAGGCGCCTTCTGTGGTCCATTATCTCCAGCCCCCCTGCGGTGTTGCTGTTTGCTTGGCTTGTCTGGCTCTCCATGCCTTGTTGGCTCCAAAATGTCATCATGCTGCACCCCAGGAAGAATGTGCAGGCCCATCTCTTTTATGTGCTTTGGGCTATTTTGATTCCCCGTTGGGTATATTCCCTAGGTAAGACCCAGAAGACACAGGAGGTAGTTGCTTTGGGAGAGTTTGGACCTATGGGTATGAGGTAATAGACACAGTATCTTCTCTTTCATTTGGTGAGACTGTTAGCTCTGGCCGCGGACTGAATTCCACACAGCTCACTTGGGAAAACTTTATTCCAAAACATAGTCACATTGAACATTGTGGAGAATGAGGGACAGAGAAGAGGCCCTAGATTTGTACATCTGGGTGTTATGTCTATAAATAGAATGCTTTGGTGGTCAACTAGACTTGTTCATGTTGACATTTAGTCTTGCCTTTTCGGTGGTGATTTAAAAATTATGTATATCTTGTTTGGAATATAGTGGAGCTATGGTGTGGCATTTTCATCTGGCTTTTTGTTTAGCTCAGCCCGTCCTGTTATGGGCAGCCTTGAAGCTCAGTAGCTAATGAAGAGGTATCCTCACTCCCTCCAGAGAGCGGTCCCCTCACGGCTCATTGAGAGTTTGTCAGCACCTTGAAATGAGTTTAAACTTGTTTATTTTTAAAACATTCTTGGTTATGAATGTGCCTATATTGAATTACTGAACAACCTTATGGTTGTGAAGAATTGATTTGGTGCTAAGGTGTATAAATTTCAGGACCAGTGTCTCTGAAGAGTTCATTTAGCATGAAGTCAGCCTGTGGCAGGTTGGGTGGAGCCAGGGAACAATGGAGAAGCTTTCATGGGTGGATCTCTACTCCAAATCTACCTATGTCACATATCACTCATGCCATCACATTTTACGTTGATTCAGTAGAGGGAAAAGGTTC